>NC_000003.12:118857089-119160119 GCF_000001405.40 Homo sapiens
ACACTGCTGTAAAGAAAGACCTGAGACTGAGTAATTTATAAAGAAAAGAGGTTTAATTGATTCACAGTTCTACATGGCTGGGGAAGCCTCAGGAAACTTATAATCATGGTGGAAGGTGAAGAGGAAGCAAGGTGCAAGGCATGTTTTACATGATGGCAGGAGAGAGAGAGAGTGAAGGGCAAACTGATACTTTTAAACCATCAGATCTTGGGAGAACTCACTATCACGAGAACAGCATGGGGGAAACTGCCCCCATCATTCAATCACCTCCCACCAGGTCCCTCCCTTGACATGTGGGGATTAGAATTTGAGATGAGACTTGGGTGGGGACACAGAGCTCAACCATATCGAGACTTATTGCTAATATGGAGAAAGTTTTAATGGTCTGGATAAAAGATCAAACCAGCAAACAGTCCCTTAAGCCAAAGCCTAATCTAGAACAAGACCCTAACTCTCTATGAAGGCTGAGAGAGGTGAGGAAGCTAAAGAAGAAAAGTCTGAAGCTAGCAGAGGTTGGTTGATGAGTTTCATGAAAAAAAGCTGTCCCATACATAAAAGTGCAAAGTAAAACAGCAAGTACTGATAGAGAAGCTGTAGCAAGTTATCCAAGAGAAATAACTAAGATCATTAATAAAGGTGGCTACACTCAACAACAGAACTTTGATGTAGCTGAAACAGCCTTCCACTGAAATAAGATGCCATCTAGGATTACCATAGCTAGAAAGGAGAAGACAGTAGCTGGCTTCAAAGCTTCAAAAAACAGTCTCTCTTATTAGGAGCTAATGCAGCTAATGACTTTAAGTTGAAGCCAATGTTCAGTTATCATCTCAAAAATCCTTAAGCCCTTAAGAATTATGTAAAATCTACTCTGCCTGTGCTCTATAAATGAAAAAACAAAGCCCGTATGACAACACACCTCTTTACAACATGGTTTACTGAATATTTTAAGCCTACTGTTGAGATCTACTACTCAGAAAAAAAGAATCCCTTCAAAATATTATTACTCATTGATAATGCACCTGGTAACCCAAGAGCTCTAATGGAGATGTACAAGAAGATTAATGTTGTTTCATGCCATCCATTCTGCAGTCAATGGATCAAGGAGTAAGTTTTACATTCAAGTCTTACATTTTAAGAAATACATTTTATAAGGCAATAGCTGCCATAGATAGTGATTCATTTGATGGATCTCCACAGAGTCAATTGAAAACCTCCTGGAAATGATTCACCATCCCAGATGCCCAGATGCCATTAAGAACACTTGTGATTCATGGTAGGAGGTCTAAATACCAAAATTCATGGGAATTTGGAAGAAGTTGATTTCAACCTTCACAGGTGACTGTAAGGGATCCAAGACTTCAGTGGAGGAAGTCACTGCAAATGTGGTGGAAATAGCAGGAAAACTATTAGAAGTGAAGCCTGAAGATGTGACTGAATTTCTGTACTCTCATGATAAAATTTTAAGAAATGAGGAGTTGCTTCTTATGGATAAGAAAAGAAGGTGGTTTCTTGAGATGTAATCTACTCCTGGTGAAGATGCTGTGAACATTGTTGAAATGACAACAAATGATTGAGAATATTAGGTAAAAGTTGATAAAGCAGAAGCAGGGTTTGAGAGAAAAGACTCCAAATTTGAAGGAAGTTCTGCTGTGGGTAAAATGCTATCAAACAGCATTGCATGCTACAGAGAAATCTTTTGTGAAAATAACCATTAACGCAGCACATTTCACCATTGTCTTTTTTAAAGAAATTGCCAGTCACCTCAACTTTCAGCAACCACCACCCTGATAAGTCAGCAGTCATGAACTCTCAGGCAAGACTTTCCATCAGAAGAAAGTTAGGACTTGCTGAAGTGTCAGATGATTGCAGCATTTTTAAGCCATTAAGTATTTTTAATTAAAGTATCTGCATTGTTATTTTAGACATAACGCTATTGCACACTAAATGGACTAAAATATAGTGTAAACATGAGTTTTATATGTACCGGGAAACCAAAAAAATGTGTGTGACATATTATTGCGATATTGAGTTTACTGTGGTGGTCTAAAACTGAGAAGTCAGTATCTCTGAGATATACCTGTATATGTAGAAGTTCTTTGATATATGTGAAGCTTTAAAATGCTAGATTGGAGAATGGTCAACAGAATGAAAGGTTGAGAAAAAAATGAGGTTTTGGGAAACATCATGCATCTTAGTTCATTTCAGCTACTGTAACAAAACATCATGGACTGGGTATCTTATAAACAACAGAAATTTATTTCTCACAGTTCTGTAGATCTGGAAAGTCCAAGATCAGAGTGCTGGCAGGTTTGGTGTCTAGTGAGGTCTCATATCCTGATTCATAAGTGGTGCCTTCTCACCGTGTCCTCATGTGAGATTAGCTAGCTCTCTAGGGCCCTTTTCTGTCTTATTACCATTTTCAATTAAAATATAATAATTGTATATATTTATGGGGTACAGATATATGTATACAATGTGTAATAATCCAGAGGTAATTAGCATATCCATAACCTCAAGCATTCATGTTGGGAGCATTCAAAATCCAATCTTCTAGCTATTTAAAAATAAAAAATAAATTGTTAATTATAGTCACCCTATAGTGCTATAAAACACTAAAACTTATTCCTCTTACCTGGCTGTACTTGTGTATTCATTAACCAACCTATGGCTATCCTTTCCTACCCCCACTCTTCCCTACCTCTGGAAACCCTATTCTACTTGCTACTTCTATGAGATCAACTTTTTTAGCTTCCACATATGAGATATTTGTCTTTCTGTCCCTGGCTTATTTCACTTAATGTAATGTCCTTCAAGCCCATCTGTGTTGTCACAAATGCCGGAATTTTGTTCTTTTTATGGCTGAATAATATTCCATTGTGTATATACACCACATTTTCTTTATCAATTTATCTGTTGATGTGCACTTAGGTTGATTCCACATCTTGGCTATTGTGAATAGTACTGCAATAAACAAGGGAATGCAGAAATCTTTTTGACATACTGACATTCTGTCCTTTGGATATATGCCCAGTAATGGGACTGCTGGATCATATGGTAGTTCTATTTTAGTTTTGTTGAGGAATCTCCATACTGTTTTTCATAATGACTGTAACAATTTACATTGCCATCAACAGAATATGAATTCTCCTTTCTCCACATTCTCACTAGCATTTGTTATTTTTTGTCTTTTGGATAATAGGCATTCTAACTAGGGTGAGATGATAGCTCACTATGGCTTTGATTTGCGTTTCCCTGATGATTACTGAGGAGCATTTTCTCATATACCTGTTAGTATACGTCATTTGTATGTCTTCTTTTAAGAGATGTCTATTCAGATAATTGGCCCATTTTTAAATCAAATTACTTTTTTTTTGCTGTTGAGTCATTTGAGTTCCTTGCATATTTTAAATATTAATCCCTTGTTGGAAGAAGAGTTTGCAAATATTTTCTTTAACTCTGCATGTTGTCTCTTCGCTTAGTTGATTTTTTGTTTGTTTTGCTGTGCAAGAAGCATTTTACTTTGACACAGTCCCATTTGTAGTTTTTGTTTTTATTGCCTATGCTATTGAAGCCCTACCCATAAAAACCTTTGCCTAGAACAATGTCCTGAAGCATTTCTCCCATATTTTCTTTTTTTTAAATTTTTGTAGGTACATAGTAGGTGATATGGTTTGGCTCTGTGTCCCCACCCAAATCTCATCTTGAATTGTACTCCCATAATTCCCACATGTTGTGGGAGGGACTCGGTGGGAGATAATTTGAATCATGGGGAAAGTTTCTTCTATACTGTTCTCATGGTAGTGAATAAGTCTCATGAAAGCTGTTGGTTTTATCAAGGGTTTCCGCTTTTGCATCTTCTTCATTTTCTCCTGCCACTGCCATGTAAGAAGTGCCTTTTGTCTCCCACCATGATTCTGAGGCCTTCCCAGCCATGTGGAACTGTTAGTCCAATTAAACCTTTTTTTTCTTCCCAGTCCTGGGTATGTCTTCATCAGCAGTGTGAAAACAGACTAATACAGAAGGTGTATATATTTATGGGGTACATAAGATGTTTTGATACAGGCATGCAATGTGAAATAATCACATCATGGAGAATGATGTAGCCATCCCCTCAAGTATTTATCCTTTGTGTTACCAACAATCCAATTACACTCTTATTTTTAAATTTACAATTGTCATTGACTGTAATCACTCTATTGTGCTGTCAAATAATAGGTCGTACGCTTTTTAACTAATTTTTTGTGCCTATTAACCATCCCCACCTGGCCCCCAGTCCACCACTACCCTTCCCAGCCTCTGATAACCATCCCTCTACTCTCTATGTCCATAGGTTCAATTGTTTTGATTTTTACACCCCACAAATAAGTAAGACATTTTATGTTTGTCTTTCTGTTCCTGCCTTGTTTCACTTGTAATAATCTCCAGTTCCATCCATGTTGTTAAAAATGACTGGATCTCATAATTTTTATGGCTGAATAGTACTCCATTGTGTGTATGTACCACATTTTCGTTATCTATCCATCTGTTGGTGGACACTGAGGATGCTTCCAAATTTGACTATTGTGAACAATGCTGCAAAAAACATGGGAGGGAAGTTTTTTTGTATATACTGATTTTCTTTCTTTTTGGTATATATGCAGCAGGAGGATTTCTGGATCATATGGTAGCTCTATTTTTAGTTTTTTGAGGAGCCTCCAGTGTACACCCTCACCAGCATTTGTTATTGCATGTCTTTTGAACATAAGCCATTTTAACTGGGGTCAGATGATATCTCATTCTGGTTTTAATTTGCATTTTTCTGAAGATCAATGATGTTGAGCACCTTTTCATATGTCTGTTTGCCACTTGTATGTCTTATTTTAAGAAATGTCTATTCAAAACTTTTGCCCATTTTTAGAACAGATTATTAGATTTTTTTCCTACAGAGGTGGTTGAGATCCTTATGTATTCTAGTTATTAGTCTCTTGTAGATAGTTTACAGATACTTTCTCCCCTTCTGTGGGTTGTCTCTTCACTTTGTTGTTTTTCTTTTCTGTGCAGAAGCTTTTTAACTTGATACAATCCCATTTGTCCATGTTTGCTTTGATTGTCTGTGTTTGTGGGGTATTACTCAAAAAATTTTTTGCTCAATGTCCTGGAGATTTCCCCAAATGTTTTCTTCTAGGAGTCTCATAGTTTGAGGTCTTAGATTTAAGTCTTTAATCCATTTTGATTTTATTTTTGTATATGGTGAGATATAGGGGTCTAGTTTCATTCTTCCGGATATGCATATCCAATTTTCCCAGCATCATTTACTGAAGAGACTTTTTCCCCAGTGTATGTTGTTGGCACCTTTGTCAAAAATGAGTTCACTATATATTGCGTGGGTTTGTTTCTGGGTTCTCTATGCTATTCCATTGGTCAATGTGTCTGTTTTTATGCCATTTCCATGCTGTCTTGGTTACTATACCTCTGCAGTATAATTTGAAGTCAGGTATTGTGATTCCTCCAGTTTTGTCCTTTTGCTTAGGATAACTTTGTCTATTCTGGGTCTTTTGTTGTTCTGTATAAATTTTAGGATTGTTTTTTCTATTTATGTGAAGAATGTCATTGGAATTTGACAGAGATTGCATCGAATCTGTAGATTGCTTAAGGTAGTATAAACTTTTTAACAATATTGATTCTTCCAATCTATAAACATAAAATATTTTTTCATTTTTTGGCATCTATTTACTTTCTTTTGTCAGGTTTTATAGTTTTTACTATAGAGACTTTTAGTTTCATTGGTTAATTCCTAGTTATTTAATTTTATTTGTGGCTATTATAAATGGGATTACTTTTATGATTTCTTTTTCAGATTGTTCACAGTTGGCATTTAGAAATGTTACTGATATTTGTATGTTGATTTTGTATCCTGCTTTACTGAATTTGTTTATCAATTCTAATAGTTTTTTTGTGGAGGCTTTAGGTTTTTTAAAATATAAGATCATATCATATGAAAACAAGGAAAACTGTGTATTTTCAAATAGCTTGTCTTCAAGCTCAGCAAGTCTTTCTTCTGCTTGAGCCATTCTGCTATTTAAGGACTGTGATGCATTCTTCAGTACGCCAATTGCATTTTTCAGCTCCAGAATTTCTGCTTGATTCTTTTAAATTATTTCAATCTCTTTGTTAAATTTATCTGATAGAATTCTGAATTCCTTCTCTGTGTTTTCTTGAATTTCTTTTAGTTTCCTCAACACATATATTTTGAATTCTCTGTCTGGAAGGTCACATATCTGTCTCTCCAGGATTGGTCCCTGCTGCCTTTATTAGTTCAGTCAGTGAGGTCATGTTTTCCTGGATGGTGTTGATGCTGGTAGATGTTCTTTGGTGTCTGGGCATTGAAGAGCTAGGTTTTTATTTTAGTCTTCACTGTCTGGGCTTGTTTGTACCTGTCCTTCTTAAAAAGACTTTCCAGGTATTTAAAAGGACTTGGGTGTTGTGATCTAAGTCATATCTACTTAGGGGGCACCCCAAACCCTGTAACACTGTGATTCTTATAGACTCTTAGAGGTACATCCTTGGTTGTCCTGGATAAGATCTATGAGAATTCTCTGAATTACCAGACAGAGACTCTTGTTCTCTTCCCTTATGCTCTCCCAAACAAACAGAATCTCTGTCTCTGTTCTGAGCCAACTAAAGTTGGGGGTGGAGTGACATAAGCACCCCTGTGGCCATCACCACTATGACTGTGCTGGGTCAAACCTGTAGCTAGCACAGCACTGGGTCTCACCCAAGGCCTGCTACAACCACTCCCTGGCTACTGCCTGTTTGCTCAAGGCCCTGGGGCTCTATATTCAGCAGGTGGTGAGGCTAGCCAGGCCTGTATCCTTCCTTTCAGGGTAGCAAGTTTTGTCAGGCCCTGGGTGGGTCCAGAGGTACCTGGCAATCAGTGACTAGGATCAAAAACCTTAGAAGTCTACCTGGTGTTCTATTGTATTGTGGCTGAGCTGGCACTCAAACCCAGAAGACACAGTCCTTCCCACTCTTCTCTCCCCTTTCCAAAGGCAGAGGAGCTTCACCCCAGGTCATGAGGAGTACTGCCAGACTACTGCTGCCACCCCAGGCCACAAGGAGTACTGCTGATGTTTCCTTAAGGCCCCGGTGCTGTTAAGTCAGCTTGTAGTGAATGCTGCCTGGCCTGGGACTCACCCCTCAGGGCAGTGGGCTCCCTTCTTTCCCAGGGCAGGTCCAGAGAAGCTGTCCAAAAGTCAAGTTCTTGACTTGGAGGCCCCAAGAGCTCACTTGGTGCTCTACCCCTCTGTATCTGTGCCAGTACCTAAGGTGCAAGAAAAAATCCACTTTACTTTTCTCTCTGCTTTTCTCAAGCAGGAGTTTGACCTGGTAGCACCACAGCTGGTAATATGCTGAGTCTCACCTGAAGCCAGCAAGTCTCAGAGGCTCACCCAAGGCCCTTGAAGTAGTGCCGGGGTGTTGCGGGAAGTCAGGGACCCTGAACAGAGGGACTGTCTGAAGCCATGGCAGAAGAACATAAATTGTGAAGATTTCATGGACATTTATTAGCTCCCCAAATTAATACTTTAATAATTTCTTATGCCTGTCTTTACTGCAATCTCTGAACATAAATTGTGAAGATTTCATGGACACTTACCACTTCACCAGTCAATACCCTCATGATTTCCTATGCCTGTCTTTAATCTCTTAATCCCGTCATCTTCGTAAGCTGAGGAGGATGTATGTCACCTTGGGACCCTGTGATGACTGTGTTAACTGCATAAATTGTTTGTAGAGCATGTGTGTTTGAACGATATGAAATCTGGGCACCTTGAAAAAAGAACAGGATAACAGCAATGTTCAGGGAACAAGAGAGATAACCTTAAACTCTGACTGCCGTTGAGCCGGGCGGAACAGAGCCATATTTCTCTTCTTTCAAAAACAAAAGGGAGAAATATCACTGAATTCTTTTTCTCAGCAAGGAACATCCCTGAGAAAGAGAATGCGTCCCTGAGGGTAGGCTTCTGAAATGGCTGCTTCAGGGGCGGCCATCTTTTACGGTCGCAGCTATAGGGATGAAATAAGCCCCAGTCTCCCGTAGCGCTCCCAGGCTTATTAGGAAGAGGAAATTCCCACCTAATAAATTTTGGTCAGACTGGTTGTCTGCTCTCAAACCCTGTCTCCTGATAAGATTGTTATCAATGACAATGCGTGCCGAAACTTCATTAGCAATTTTAATTTCGCCCCGGTCCTGTGGTCCTGTGATCTCGCCCTGCCTCCATTTGCCTTGTGATATTCTATTACCTTGTGAAGCATGTGATCTCTGTGACCCACACCCTATTCGTACACTCCCTCCCCTTTTGAAAATCACTAATAAAAACTTGCTGGTTTTACAGCTCAGGGGGCATCATGGAACCTGCTGACATGTGATGTCTCCCCTGGACACCCAGCTTTAAAATTTCTCTCTTTTGTACTCTGTCCCTTTATTTCTCAGACCGGTCGACACTTAGGGAAATAGAAAAGAACCTACATGAAATATCAGGGGTGAATTTCACCCAATATCTGGCTGAATTTCCCCTGATACCTCATGAAATATCGGGGGTGAATTTTGCCCGATATCTGGCTGAATTTCCCAATACCGGGGTATCATTGCTGGTTTTTCAGGGCCCAAGGGCTCCTCAGTTAGCAGATGATGAATGCTGACAGGACTTGGCCCTTCCTTTCAAGACAGTGGGTTCCCTTCTGGCCCAAGGTGTGTCTAGAAATGTCATCTGGGAGCTAGGGCCTGGAATGGGGACCTCATGGCTCTGACTGGTGGCCTATTCTGCTGTGGCTGAGCTGGTATCCAAGATTTAACACAAAGTCCTCCCCACTCTTTCCTCTCCTCTCCTCTCCTCAAGTGGAAGTGCAGCCTAGGGTAAGGGGAGGAGTGATGCCAGCACTCCCATAGTTGCCCGGCTGGTGTCTCAGTAGGTCACATGCCACTCCAGTCCACTGTCTCTGTGCCAGGTTCAGCCCTAGGACTCATCTAATAGTTGCAGCCCTTACAGCCTAGACTGCCTTTCAAGTTTACAGACTGAGAGCACTTTGGCCCTTGGTAGCAATGTTTGTGGGCACTCAAGTTCAGACTGCTGGGATTGGTGATTCCCCTCTGGCTAGGTCTGGTTTCAATGCTCCCTCCCTGCATGTGCTTCAGCTGAGTTTGGTCCAGTTGTCCTTTCTGCTCTAACAGGGCAGCACTGAATTCAATGTCTCACTATTGCTGTGCTCTCCCTCCCTTTTCCTCCAGAGCTACCCTGGGCACCACCTGCCATTGCCAGGGATGGGAAAGGGGTGGTGATGCACTCCAGGACTGTTTTTTCTATCTCTTCAGTGCCTCTTTCAGTGATACAGAGTTAAAACCAGGTACCATGAGGGCTCATCTGATTTTCTGTTCTTATGAAGGTGTTTTTTTCTGTGTAGATAGTTGTTACATTGGTGTTCTTGAGGGAATGATGATTGGCAGATCCTTCTATTCTACTGTCTTGCTCCTGACAAATCTCTCTCCTATGTTTTCTTCTAGTAGTTTCATCATTTCAGGTCTCAAAATTAAGTCTTTAATTCATTTTGGTTAATTTTTGTGTATGCTGAGAGATATGGGTCTAGTTCCATTTTTATGCATATGAATGTCCAGTTTTACCAGCACCATTTATTGAAGATACTGTTTCTTCTCCAATGTATGTTCTTGGCAACTTTATCAAAAATCAGTTAGCTGTAAATAAATGCATTTACTTCTGGCTTCTGTATTCTGTTCAACTGGTCTATGGGCCTATTATTATTTCAGTACTATGCTGTTTAGCTTACTATAGTTTTGTAGTATATTTTGAAGTCTGACAGTATGAGGCCTCCAGCTTTATTCTCTTTCTTAGAATTCCTTTGGCTATTCAAGGTTTTTTGTGGTTCCATATAAATATTAAGATTGTTTTTTCTATATTTCTGTGAAGACTGTCAGTGGTATTTTGATAGGGATTCCATTGAATCTGTAGATCCCTTTTGGTAGTATGGTCATTTTCACAATATTTTTCCAATCTATGAATATATCTTTCCATTTTTTGTTTTGTGTCCTCTTCAATGTCTTTCACTAGTGTTTTATAGTTTTCCTTGTAGAAACCACTTACCTCCTTTGCTACATTTATTTCTAGATATTTAATTATTTTTCATAGTTATTGTAAATGAGATTGCTTTCTTAAAATTTATATGGAATCACAAAAGACCTTGAATAGCTAAAGCTGCAGGAGATCCCAGTGGTGAGGTCTGCAGGTGTCCAAGATGTTGATGGGGGTTGCTGGGATTATCTTGCTTACTTCATCACCATAGGGAGAAGTTCCTTCTCATTCCCAACTGATCCTGTTTGGGAAATGGGGTGGTGGAGGGCCAGCATTCCCTACTGTTTTCTATGTGACCATCTCAACTTTCTATGCTCATTAGGGTTTTTTTTTTTTAACTCTTCTGAGAGTATTCCAGCACTCTCCCTGTTATTTTTATTAAAATATAGTTGTTTATTCATTGTTCTGGCTTTGTGAGAGGGATGAGCTCAAGGGGCTTCTAGTCAGCCATCATGCTGATGTCACTGGGGTCATTTTATAAGGGCAATAATCCCAATCATGAGAGTTCTGCCTTCATAATCTAATCACCTCCCAAAGGCCCCACCTCCTGTTACGATCATCTTGGGGATTTGAATTTTAACATATAAATTTTGGGGGAAGACACAAACATTCAGACTATAGCATCATGTGATTTACAATTTCAGAGGTCATATTAACTAAGTCAGAATGCAGAGCATCTAGATTAATATTGCTTTTAGAGGAAGAACTCTCATTTTTGTTGCACTTATACCCATGGGTGATTCAACAGAGAAGCTGAGCACAACAGATAGTGTTCATAAGATACTACTCAAGCAAATGGCAGATCTAGCGGTCTCATGCTTTCAGAAATTACATGAACCTCACATGAGGTTATACAGCAACATCAGCTTTGGTAATGGCTGAAACTTTGCTTACAGTGTCAGATGTTTGCATGGTGGAACAGCTTTCAGCCATGCCATTTAACTCTCCAATGAGCCTGCCACAGTGATAAAGCTCTTCAGATCCCTAGACTGGCAGGAAACAACAGCATCACACATAATTATCATCCTCAGAGAAAAGAGTCCATTAATGATCTGGGCTGAAACAAGGTTTGAATGCTAATGAAAGGGTGGCCTTCTAGGATATTAATTAGGGGTGACACTTTCAGTGCAAGTTTGACTTTTCTTCTTCAGATTCCAGTTGAAACTGTGCATTGGATGTGAGCAAAATGCAGATCAGAATGAGAAAAGAAAAGAAGAAACAGCAGAGGACTGGCAAAAAAGCGACAAAAGGGAAAATAACCATGAAAAGCAAGTCAAGAAAATTTCAATCCTAAAACACAAAATGTAATTCAGGTGCTTATAACTCGGGTATTGGCTTCCCTTTCCCTATCATTTGAGATTTAGTAAAAGTGGCTCCACCCTTCTTTCACGAGCTCTCTGGGTAGTGTAATACTTTATTGCAAGATATCTGAGAATCTCTAGGGTTTATGCCCTCAAAAATTTTTGCATTCTAAGTTTCTCAATCTGCTGAACATGATGTTTCTCCTGCATTTCTCATGCCTGTAATTCTTGCCTCTCTCCTTGACAGTTGAAGTATGGTCTTGAGATTGGTGTATTGGTAATACCTGGGTCTTGTTAGTAATGCAGACTTCCCCACCCCAGACCTACTAGATCAAAATCTGCAAGTTTAACAAGATCCCCAGAGATTTTCATGCATATTAAAGTTTAAGAAGCTCTACTATAATCAATGCAGACAATCTAGGTATGGAACACAGTTACTTCTTGGTTTCCCAGAAAAAGCATGGTAGGAATAACAGGTTTTATTACAGATTTGGTGCAGTGGAGGGGTTTATACAGAAGCAATGCCTATACTTTATAATTGCATATTAGCTGCCCCTAAATTTAGAAGTCCTTGAGCCATCTTTTTTTTTTTTTTTTTTTTGAGACAGGGTCTCAGTCTGTTGCCTAGGCTGGAGTGCAGTGGCGCAATCTCGGCTCACTGTAACCTCTACCTCCTGGGTTCAAGCAATTCTCCACCTCAGCCTCCCAAGTAGCTGGGACTACAGGTGTGCACCAACCACCACACCCAGCTAATTTTTGTATTTTTTGGTAGAGACAGGGTTTCACCATGTTGGCCAGGCTGGTCTCAAACTCCTGACCTCAAGTGATCTGCCAGCCTCGGCCTCCCAAAGTGCTGAGATTACAGGCATGATCCACCATGATAGTCTCTTTGGACCATCTTGACTGTTGCTTGACTATCTCTTTTTCTCAAATCTCACATCTCAATTCCTCTCATTTTAGTTTTCAGACTAATTTAGTTCTCCACCCACAACCAGGCTCTATGCTCACATTTGCATATATAAAGATTCATTTATGTCCTCCAATAAAAGAGTTATCTATTCTTGCTCTCAACCTTTGGTACCCCAGAAAAACTTACAGTGACTTTGAAGTTTCATCCTGTTCTGTCTTTCTTTCCTTCTGGCCTCTATGAGTAGAAGGAAGTTGTACAGACATATAATTTTTCTCTGATATGAAGTATGTCATCTCTACCCCACTTAAAAGGTGGAAACTGCTATAGTCACTTTGGATTTTGAAACAATTTTTTTATCCAACTACATGCCTAAATCTCAATTATTCATTGTAAAGCAAGATAAGAATAGCTTGGGTCATTCAAATCCACAGAGTCTAAACACCATATGTGAGAAACCACTTTCAAATATTTTAACAGAATTACAGACAGGGAATGAGAATTATTCTGAGAACAAGTTCTAATTAGTTTTTCTTTATTTGATCATTCTCTTTTGTCAAGACCAGCTATTATCTCTGACTTGTGTAACTCTGGCTGGAGTAACCTAGTATCACCTTCCTTATCCAAGTCATTGACTGCTTTTGGGTTTTAGGGGGATGTCTCTCTAGAATTGGTTAGAGTCCATAACTGGACATTACTAAACATTTCTGGCCAAGGTAGGTGTTTAATGTGGGTTGACTCTATGTTCCCACCCAAATCTCATGCTAAATTGGAATCCCCAGTGTTGGAAGAGGGAACTGGTGGGAGGTGACTGGATCATGGGGGTGGATCTTCCCCTTGCTGTTCTCATGATAGTGAGTGAGTTCTCATGAGATCTGGTTGTTTAAAAGTGAGTAGCACCTCCCCCTTTGCTCTCTCTCTCTCCTGCTCTGCCATAATAAAATGTATTTGTTTCCCCTTTGCTTTCCACTATGATTGTAAGTTTCCTGAGGCTGCCCAGCCATGCTTCCTATACAGCCTATGGAACTGTGACTCAATTAAACCTCTTTTCTTCATAAATTATGGAATCTCAGGTAGTTCTTTATAGCAGTGTGAGAACAGACTAATACAGAGAACTGGTACCAGAGAAGTGGGGCATTGCTATGAAGATACCTGAAAATATGGAAGTAACTTTGGAACTGGGTAACAGGCAGAGGTTGGAACAGTTTGGAGGGCTCAGAAGTAGACAGGAAGATGAGGGAAAGTTTGGAACTTCCTAGAAACTTGTTGAATCGTTGTGACCAAATGATGATAGTCATGTGGACAGTGAAGTCCAGGCTGAGTGGTCTCAGATGGAGATAAAGAACTTATTGGGAACTGGAGTAAAGGTCACTCTTGCTATGCTTTAGCAAAGAGACTGGGGCATTTTGCCCTGCTCTAGGAATCCATGGAACTTTGGAGTTGAGAGAGATGACTTAGGGTATGTGGCAGAAGCAATTTCTAAGCAGCAAAGTGTTCAAGATGTGGCCTGGCTGCTCCTAACAACATACATTCATATGCATTCACAAAGAGATGGTCTGGAAGTGAAACTTATATTTAAAAGGGAAGCAGAGCATAAAAGTTGAAAAAATGTGCAGCCTGACTATGTGGTAGGAAAGAAAAATCCATTTTCTGGAGAGAAATTTAAGGCTGCAGAAAGTTGCATAAATAAAGAGAAGCCAAATGTTAATAGCGAAGACAATGGGAAAAATGCCTCCAGGTCATTTCAGAGACCTTTGTGATAGCCCCTCCCATCACAGACCTGGAGGCCTAGGAGGGAAAAATGGCTTTCCAGGCCAGGCCCAGGGCCCCACTGCTCTGTGAGCTTCAGGACATGGTGCTCTGAGTCCCAGCCACTCCAGCTCCAGCCACGACTAAAAGGAGCTGAGGTACAGCTAGAGCCATTACTTCAGAGGGTGCAAACCCCAAGCCTCGGTGGCCTCCAAAAGGTGTTGGGCCTGTGGGTGCACAAAAGACAAGAGTTGAGGCTTGGAAGCCATCGCCTAGATTTCAGAGGATGTATGGAAATGCCTGGACGTCCAGGCAGAAGTCTGCTGCAGAGGCAGAGCCCTCATGGAGAACCTCTACTAGGACAGTGCAGAGAAGAAATGTGAGGTTGGAGACCCCACACAGAGACCCCACTGGGGCACTGCCTAGTGGAGCTGTGAGAAGAGAGCCACCATCCTATAGACCCCAGAATAGTAGATCCAGCGTTGAAGCCACAGGCACTCAATGCCAGCTAATGAAAGCAACCAAGGGGGCTATACCTTTCAGAGCCACGGAGGTAGAGCTGCCCAAGTCCTTGGGAGCCCACCCCTTGCATTAGTGTGCCCTGGATATAAGACATGAAGTCAAAGGAGATTATTTCGGAGCTTTAAGGTTTAATGACTGTCCTTCTGTGTTTTGGACTTGCATGGGGCCTGTAGCCCCTTTGTTTTGGCCAATTTCTCCCATTTGGAATGAGAGCATTTACCAAATCCCTGTACTTCCATTGTATCCTGGAAGCAACTAAATTGTTTTTGATTTTCAGGCTCATAGGCATAAGGGACTTGGCTTATCTCAGGTGAGACTTTGGACCTGAATTTTGGGTTAATGCTGGAATGAGTTAAGACTTTGTGGGACTATTGGGAAGCATAATTGGTTTTGAAATGTGAGAAGGACATGAGATTTGGGGGTGGGGATCAAGGGCAGAACGATATGGGTTAGCTCTGTGTTCCCACCCAAATCTCATGTCAAATTAGAATCCCCAGTGTTGGGGGAGGGGCCTGCTGGGAGGTGATTGGATCATGGGGCTGGATTTCCTCCTTGTTGTTCTCATGATAGTGGGTGAGTTCTCATGAGATCTGATGGTTTAAAAGTATGACACTTCCCCCCTTTCTCTCCTGCTCTGCCATAGGAAGATGTGCCTTGCTTCCCCTTCATCTTCCACCATGATTGTAAGTTTCCTGAAACCTCCCAGTCATGCTTTCTATACAGCCTGTGGAACTGTGAGTCAATTAAACCTCCTTTCTTCATAAATTACCCAGTCTCAGGTATTTCTTTAAAACAGTGTGAGAATTGACTAATAGCGTGTTTCCTTGGGATCAGATGATCAGGAACATAGGGAGTCATCAGACTTACTGAGAGAATGAAAAGAGGAAATGTTTCACCTATCTCCACATAAAGTGGAAGGAAGAGAATGTTTCACACATAGTAGATAGAAGGATAGACTGGGTGGGTGGCCTGCATGACCAATAACACATCAGATTAATTTGTTTTATAATCAGCAACTTCTAGTATATACTAATCAACTTTGATCACTAGAAGTGTTGATAAAAATAGTCTTGAGTTCAATTGAGTTCCAATATTCAGATTCACAAACTTTTTTCAGCATCTACTATGTGCCATGTGTGAGGCCTGGAAAAACACAAATAATTATGAAATAGTTACCACCTTCAAGAAGCAAATAATTACAAAATGGTTCCCATCTTCAAGGAGCATAGTCACAGGACAAAATTAATTTGAATATGATATGTATATCCTATGATAAGTATACATTATCTTATATAATCACAGAAGATTTATTTTCCTGTCTTGGGCAATCAAAAAAAGCTTCAGGAAAAGATATCTCCTAGGAAGAGATTTTTCTATTCTTCTGTGGTGGAGATTCCTATTTTCATCATATCCTTTCACCATGAAAGTTAGGTTTCTAAGATAAGCAACATAACTTTCCTGAAGTTTTGTCTCAGAGCTATTAAAATAGAGATGTTGAAAGAGTCAACAAAGCTGTAATGTGAATGTGAAGATCTACGGAAAACTGATGTTAGATTGTGAACTCCTGACATAAAATAATTTGGAGGATGACTACTAGACATCATTTCAAGCTGTGGTGACCTTATAAACTTATTGCCCAAATTAAGACACTCTGAGAGTAATTGAGGGACACTATTAATAATTCCTAGGCTACAAATATAAACTGAGACTAACCTGAGTGAGCTGGTAATAGGGTCACTCTAGTGTAAGGCCATATTTCCAGTCATCTGGGAAATAGTAAAGACTTCTAACAACATACTTTGTAATGACCACTGGTCTTCCATATCACATTGAGGTTAAACTGCTTGTGAGGGATTTTTGAATAATATTCTGAAACATAAGATTAATTTTTGGCCTTGAAATTAAGCAACTTTTAAATGTTAAGTGCTATTGTCTGAATGTTTTTCAGAATTCATATGTTGAAACTTAATCCCCATGGTGGTGTTGTTATGAGGTGGGGACTTTAGGAAGATGATTAGTCATTCCGGCTCTCCTCTCATAAACAGATTAGTGCCTTATAGAAGATCTGGAGGGAAGTGGCTTAGGGTCTTTTTGCCTTTTTGGCCCTGCAAATATGTGAGGACACAGCAAGAAGGCCCTCACCAGACACTGAATGCTGGTGCCTTTATCTTGAACTGCCCAGCCTCCAGAACTGTAAGAAATAAATTTCTATTGTTTATAAATTACCCAGTCTGTCGTATTTTGTTATTAGCAGCACAAATGGACTAAAACGATGAGACTAAGATCACATCTGAATGGACCATTACTTAGAACAGGATGTGACCAGAGAGGAGGGTCCAGGAGAGCACTCAGCACAGCCACAGGGGACAGGCACTGGGGAAACTGAATCAGCCACTAATGCCAACAAAGCTTCCTGATCTACAGCACTCCTAAATCTTAGCTCATGTAAATACTCACCAGTGGCTGAGAGAGAAAGAGGAGGAGGAGCACAGGTAAAATCGGAGGCTATCTCAATTGGTAGGCAGAGACAATTGAAAAAGAATACAGGATAGGTAAGACTCAACAAGTCAGGTCAGGAATCCAATATCTAGATGGTATTAAAGCCGAGCCACAGCCTTGAATTCTGCCTGGAGAGACCTAAATCACAAATTCAATTAGTGGTACTGTGGCACTGGGGGAATGCAATAGTCTTAAATACAATGTTGACTTTGCACACATTTTAAAATATGTATTTATAACAATGAGACATTTCAAATAATAGTGATAGTGGCTAGTGTGCATTGAATAATGTTTCAGTGACTGTTCTAAGTGCTTCACATCTTAAATGCTGTAAACTATTATCCTCATTTTGCACTTGAGAGACTGAAGTATTGAGATATGAGCTGTGAAGTCTTGGAGGACACGGGAAGCAATGCATTTACCATTGTTGCAATTTTGTCACTTAAAAGGTAGACTTGGACAGACAAGAAATACAGCTCTTTTAAGGCAATGCCATTTACTTAAGAAGCACATAATGAAGGATTTGAGATTATCCTAGAGAGTGTCTCAAAGGGTAATATTTTTTAAATTTTTCCAACAATAGTGAGAATTTCCTGTTCACTTACACAATGCTAAGTTTGGTGCATTATTATAAATGCCCACTTTAATTAATACAATAGTACAATGTAGTTCACCTAGAATTAATGGATGAGGTAGGAAGCAAACTTGCTCCTATTTCTCAAAGAGGTGTGGAGAGAGACAGAAGTTAGGGAAAACTTTCTAATAAAAAATCAGCTGTTGAAATCAAAGAAGCTTTAGCATGAACCAAATTGCTAAGAACCAATGGCAAATTAGAAGAGGTTAACTAGGTGCTGGGATCCTAAAAAGAGATCTACCATCCAGAAACTCAGACTGGAATTTGATAACCTTCTGAGAAACATCAGATTATTGTTAAAGCACGTTCCAATAAACTAGAGCTCCTATTTGGCTCAGGATGAATGTTTTTAATTTTGAATACTGCTCTGAATTGCTTATCATGAAAATGTTTAATAATGCAATGTGGCTACAATGTAGGAAGCATTGTAAAGAGAGGCAGAAGGTGAATAATTGGGTAAAACAATCTCAATTTAAAATGAGCAGGGCAGCTGGTTCATAAAAGAAATACTGTGCACATGAGTGGAAGAAAATAGCTGGTGAAAAACAAAGAGAATCAAAAATAGTGTAACACAGAGAAAATGAACTGCAGTTCCTTTCTCTTTTAAGTCCTAAATAGAAAGCCATGTGATGTAAGCAGTGGGTTTCTATATTACCCAGAATCCCAAACAACAACTAAAGATCTAAAGATGTGCTTTTGGCAGTAGAGTTGGAGAAAAGAATAGATTCCAGATGACTTAGATGATGCCCCTCACGGAGGCCCAGGAAATATTTGCCAAGGCGTCAGCTACATGGACAAGGTAAAAAACATCACAGTTGGCCACACAAGACATTTGGGCCTCTATATGAAATTTATGTTCGTTGTGTGCTGTTTCCAAGTAAAATTTCAAATTAACTATTTCTTTGATAAGAAATCGCCATAATTCTTAGAGTGCTGAAAGGGAGAAAATGAACCAACTATAGTCATGGACAATGAAATTAATTGCCTGAGAATTTCCTGTAAAAGAGCTCTGGATTAGGTCACAACACACTTATGTTAAATGCCGTATAAGACATTCTCCAAAAAATATCCTAAATGGGGCCTAGATCTCCTGGCACTGTCATATAAGGAGTTCTGATGGGACTAAATTGAACAAATAGAAAGTAATCGTTATCTGTTAGAAAGGTGTAGCCAGGTCTTTCTGTACCCTTTCCAAAAGAAAAACTGCATATCTTCCATGAGAGACAAAAGTATGTACCATCTGCAAATTCTTGCAAAGACCTGTATCACATAAAAATTACCCTTATTCTCTCCTTCGATATGTGGATTTCTATAAATAAATCGAGAGAAGCTAAGCCTTTGGTAAGCCAAAAAAGACAAAATAAAATTGTGACTGGATGTCACTATGAGCCCCCAGTTTCGGTCTAGAATAAATAAAAGGAATCTGTGTTTCTACGCCCCTTTTCTAGAACTGTTGCACATTTTCACCAGGCTGCCTGGTCGAGGAGAAAAGAAGTCTGGGAATGGGGATGCTATCTTTGTAAAGGCGTTGGAAAGAGGATCTCAGCACGGCAGTGAGAAACCACATTGGTTCTCTATGGGAATTAAGCAGATTAAGTGTACAAACCTATAATTCCAGGGAAGTAACAGCCTTGTTGCTGCAAAGGGTAGAAGCTTCAGAGTGGAAGTCACTATTAATTCCTATGTGGTTTGCCACAAAGGGTGTGCTGTCAGCAACAACAACCCCTAGAGCTGCTAGCTTGAATTCTCAGGCCATGCTCACATGAACTACAGAATACTACAGTGACTCTAGAGACTGGTGTCCTTACGTCTCTCATTCTATGCTATGAATAACTGATTCCTGCCTCAGCTCATGGTATTCCCAAACATAAGGACTAGACAAGGGCACAGCTGTAGCACAAGTTTTAGAGTGTAGGTCTGAGATTAGAGGGAAGTCAGGCCAGGAAAGAATCCCTCAAGTGTTGAGGGTCAACATAACAACAAGCTCAGAAGCAAATGTAACAAGCTGCCAAATCTCCAAGGTAAAAGGTGGTAGCTGAAATAGTTTAGAGAGATTCTGTAGGGAGAAAGACATATTTGAAGTGAAGTCCACAGATGAGGATTTCAGGATCTTGCAGGATACTGAAAGCAGGTTTTTTGTTTGTTCGGGTTCTATTTTTTTTTAAGCTACCATTGTATTAATGGTCTAACTGAGGATCTTTTTTTATTATTTATTTATTTATTTTCAATTTTTGTAGCTATATAGTTGGTGTATATATTTATGGGGTACATGAGAAATTTTGATACAGGTATACAATGCATAATAATCACATTAGGGTAAATGGGGTATCCATCACCTCAAGCATTTATCCTTTCTATTACAAACAACCCAATTATACTCTTTTCGTTATTTTAAATGTACAATAAATTATTATTGACTACAGTCACCTGTTATGCTATCAAATAGTAGATCTTATTCATTCTAACTATATTTTTGTACCCGTTAACTATTTCCACTCCACCTACCACACTCACTACCTTTCCCAGCCTCTGGTAACCATTATTCTACTCTGTATTATTTGTAAGCTTCATGGTAACCATAAAATTTAAAACAACAGATACACAAAAAAATAAAAAGCAAGAAATTAAAGCATACTACCAGAGAAAAACCACCTACACTAAAAGGAAGACAGGAAGGAAGGAAGGAAAGAAAGAAGACCACAAAACAACCAGAAAATAACAAAATGGCAGGAGTTAAGTCCTCACTTATTAGTAGTAACAGTGAATGTAAGTGGAGTACACTCTCCAATCAAAAGACAGAGTGGTTGAATGGATTAAAAAGCAAGACCCATTGATCTGTTGCCTATAAGAAATACGCTTCATCTATAAAAACACACACAGACTGAAAATAAAGGGATGGAAAAAGATATTCCATGCAAATAGAAACAAAAAAAGAGCTGGAATAGCTATACTTATATCAGACAAGATATATTTCAAGACAAAACTTTAAAAAGAGACAAAGAAGGTCACTATATAATGATAAAGCAGTAAATTCAACAAAAGGATATAACAATTATAAATATACATGCACCCAACACTGGAGCACCCAGATATATAAAGCAAATATTAGAGCTAAAAATAGAGACAGGCCCTAATTCAGTAATAGCTGGAGACTTCAACACCACACACTCAGCCTGGACAGATATCTAGACAGAGAAATGACAAAGACATACTTCATGATATCCTTACTTCTATTTTTACCTGCGAACCTTTTTGAGACTCATTTTATAAATAGGGTACAGTTGAAACTGGATTGTTCCATCGTGCCCATATTTACGAGGTAGAGGCATGTAATCTTGGTGTTTGACTTTTCTATTGATAAAGAACAACAGGGAGCACACTTAGAGCGCTGTTCAGTAACTCTTTCCCAAAAGGGCTTTCAAGTGCTAATTGATCAGGAATACACACCACTTCTTATCAAGGGCCAAAACCTATTGAGCCACAAAATTTAAAAAAAAAAGTAATTGAGACAGGGTCACACTCTTTGGCCCAGGTGGGAGGATAGGGGTGCAATCATAGCTCACTGCAACCTCCACATCCTGGGCTCAAGCAATCCTCCCACCTCAGCCTTCTGAGTAGCTGAGACTACAGATGTGTACTACCATACCTAGCTAATTTTTGTATATTTACTTTTTGTGTTTTGGTTTTTGGTTTTTTTGAGACAGAGTTGCGCTCTGTCACCCAGGCTACAGTGCACTGGCACAATCTCAGCTCACTGCAACCTCCACCTCCCAGGTTCAAGCAATTCTCCTGCCTCAGCCACCCAAGTAGCTGTGATTACAGGCACCCACCACCATGCCTGGCTAGTTTTTTGTTGTTGTTATTTTAGCAGAGACGGGGTTTCACCATGTTGGCCAGGCTGGTCTCGAACTCCTGACCTCAGGTGATCCTCCTGCCTTGGCCTTCCAAAGTGCTGAGATTACATGCGTGAGCCACCACACCCAGCCAATTTTTGTATAATTTATAGAGATGAGGTTTCACCATGTTGCCCAGGCTGATCCTGAACTCCTGGGCTCAAGCCATCCTCCCACTTCAGCCACCCAAAGTGCTGGGCATACAGGTGTGAGCCACTGTGCCCAGCCAAAATACATTTAATTTTCAAGTTTCTCACATCTCTCTTGGCAATTATGGAATATAGGCTGTTCTGGTGATGGTATCAGGTAAAGAAGAGCATTATTTCTTTTTTAATGTTACACATCAGGGGTTAGCAAACTATAGCCTGTGTGCTGAATCCAGCCAGTTCCCTGTTTTTGTAAATAGAGTTTTATTGGGACATAGCTATGTTCAATCATTTACATATTGTTTATGGGTACTTTTATGCTACAATGTTAGAAATGAGTAGTTGCAACAGAAACTGGTCCACAAAGCCTAAACTATTTTTCACCTGATCCTTTACAAAAAAGGTATGCCAACTCCTACCCTAAAGTAAAAAAGGATTTGAACTTTGTAAAATTCTGTGACAGTTTAGTTCGGTGTGCAGGTCCTGATGAATTGCTTCTCCTGCAATATAAGTAAGCAACAAAAAGTCAGTTGAGTCTCTGGGGTTGCTGCGATTGTAGGGTAAAGGCAGAACCATCTGGCTGGCCGAATCTCAGGAGACAAGTGTCTTCAGAGGCACCACCCACAATTTCAGAGACCCAGGACTGGTTGCCAGTCTCATAAGCAGTTGTGGCATGTGGAGTGTGACCTAAAGGCATGTTAACCTTGAAACTCTGAACACTGTGATAGCCAACTTAACAACCACTAAAACTAATTGTCATAAACCTTGCAAAGAAATAACCTTCTCCCCAAAGTGTTGGGCTTTCAACTCTATCTCAGACAACAGCAACAGCAAATGGGACTTTCAGAAGGCGAGAACTCTGGGAAGCAGACAGCCCAGGAAAGAGGAGCCCAGCTGCTTCTCTGAGCTCGCTGACCACTAAGGCAGAAAGGCCATTTCTACTTTTCACATTTGGGCAGGACAGCTCCTCTGAAATGCCCAGTACTGATTCCCTTACTTTTCTCTCATGGAAATCTCTAAACTCCTGTTTCTTCCACCTGCTGGTCAGCTGTGCAGTGGCTCTTAGCTACTTGGATGCAAACCCTCCAGAGTAGAGTGGATTACTCTGGTCATTCTGCTACTGAACGGGTTTTGCTTACATTCTAGCTCATGCATCTGCATGTGAGGGAGGGAAGAGACAAGCCTTAGGGGTGTCCACGAGTTACTTTGTTGTGGATATGCTGCACTTCTGAAAATTTCCTGCTGCGTCTTCTCCTATCATTGCCTCTGATAAAGTAGCTATGTATATCCACTAAAGGTGGCTACCGGCCAGGGGACCCCAAACTCTGTGAAATTCATCTGGATGTGCCTGCTTTCTAAATGGATTAGGCATAACCTTCAAGGTGTTTGAACCTAAATGGCAACTTGATTATTTTCACTAGTTCTCAGCCCCTTTGTTGCCTCTCCTCTTCCAATTGCAAAAAGGCCCAGCCTCTTTTGAGTGTGAGCTGCCAGTCACCATCTGCTTCTCTTCTTCTACCAACTGTATCTGATATGTAATCACACTAATTATAATTCTGCTCCATTACGTTCCTCGCAGGTTTGAGGAGAGGCTGGTTTTTGGGTGCATTTGGAACTAACCACTTCTCACCATGAGAGGGTCCTCCAGCTGGTTTTATGCCAACTTTGCTGCATGACGAGTGAATGCAGAGGAACTCCCAGTCCCAAAAGTAGATCCCAGTATTCGGTTCAATGCTGTCTATATCTCAGGGGCAAGGAACAAGAGCCACAGTTCCCCCCACACCATGACAGGGAAAACACCACCTAGCATTAGGGACTTTAACAACGCTAAACCAGAAGGTCAGGTAATGAAGACTCTCTGCTACGGAAAGTACCTCAGGCTCATTAGCCTATCTATGTGGGGCTCATCTGTGTGTGCTGGGGGGGGCATGGCTGTGGTCGGGGGCATGGTTGACTCTTTCTCTCTCTCCTACTCCCCTTGGCCAATCCTCACTTGTCTATCGGCCCCCATCACTTGTAAGGTAAACAAACAGCAAGTGATGGGGGCTGATAGACAGGTGAGGATTGAAGCGGACTGGGAGACAAAAGGATAGTGGTGCAGAGGATTACCTCTCACAAGCCTGAGAAAGGTATGAATAATTTTAAAAACAAAACCAAGCCTCTGCCAGTGAAAATGCTAAGAGCCCCACTCTGCCAGAGCTCCTCCCTTTCCATGATAGAGCTCTATGAGTGGGTCACTGTGCTGGAGAGTCACTACAAGTTCATCTTTATGGTAATGGAGAAAATTCCACCTCTGATCCCCCCAGGACTGAAGTTACCCTGTTCTTCCTATCACTATTGCATGGCAGATGATGAGAAGACCTGACAACCTCCGAAGGAGCAGACCTCGTCCCCCCAGCCACCTGCTCCAGCCCCTTGCTACCTCCTTGTCATATCCCTCCATCCCTTGGTGTTTTGCTGCTCTTTCCCGTGCCTGCCACACTGTGGAGGTGGGAGAGGCTTTCTTATCACCAAGGTTCCAATGTTCTAACATGGTCCTGGTATGGAATAAATTGTGCATCCCCTGCCTCAATTCATATGTTGAAGCCCTAACCGAAATGTGACTGTATTTGGAGACAGGCCCTTTAAGGAGGTAATTAAGGTTAAATGAAGTTTTAAGGGTGAGCCCCTAATCGGATGGGACTCGTGTCCCTATAAGAGGAGGAAGAGACCCTGGAGATCACTCTCCTTCCATGTGCATACAGAAGGAAGGCCATGAGACGGCACAGGAGAAGGCAGCCACATGCAAGTCAGAAAGAGAGGCCTCCCCAGAAACCAATCCTGCTGCCACTTTGGTATTGGACTTCCAGCCTCCAGAACTGTGAGAAAATTAATTTCTGTTGTTTAAGCCACCAAGTCCATAGCAGATTGTTATGGCAGCTGGAGCTGACAAATATGGTCTGACACAGGAGGGACATGCTTTGTCACTGGCTTCTAGTGTACCCTTCCATTGGTAACCTCCATCTTCAGTCTCTTACAGTGCCTTCCACAGGAAGTTGAGAGACAGCCCTTTGGCACTAAGCCTCAGGAGCTATGAGAGGGAACATCAAGTTGTATTTGAAACCATCCACCCTGCCCTGCCTGCCTAGCTTTGTCCAGAGTCTGAGCTGTAAGTT
The DNA here is from genome assembly GCF_000001405.40 of Homo sapiens. Classification (NCBI taxonomy): domain Eukaryota; kingdom Metazoa; phylum Chordata; class Mammalia; order Primates; family Hominidae; genus Homo; species Homo sapiens. The sequence continues at coordinate 118,882,017 of NC_000003.12, forward strand.
CCCTAAGTCCAATTCACGATTTCCCTCAGCTGGCCCATCTATTCTATCACCACCCAAAAAGGACCCCAGCCCTTCTCTTGACCCTCTAGAAATCTTTCTTGGGAAGACAACACTGGCCTCTGCGGAACACTCACTCTGCAGTGACTGCTTTTTTCATTTAAAGGTCTCTTTTCCTGTGTGTCTCTGTGCTTCTCACAGCATCTTTCCTTGTCTCTTTCTTTTGAAAATATCCTTTTGTTATTCTTTCTCTGTCTCACTCTTGAGGTCTGTCCTCATCTCTTACTCCTAATGATTCCCTTTCTATTTCTTTCTTCTCTTTCACCCTTAACATTGAAGTATGTTATTTTTAACTTATTGAATATGGCTTGTTCTCTAATACTAATTTGATAAGTAAATGAGTCCAAAATATATGCCTCCTCTTGCATAACAACAAATAAGCAAACAGAGATAAAATTAACATAGCTTCTCTAATCCTTGACTCCACTTTTCCTGGGTTCCTCTGCTCAGCACTACTAACCAACATTTGTTGGTGCCACAAGGGGGCAGTGTGATCAAGCAGATTATTTAACCCAAGCAGCTATAAGAGAAGTCAGAGGAGGCAGGGAAAGGTAGAGGCAGAAATCAAGAAATTGCCTGCTTCTGTCACTGGGGAAGGGCCATGGCAGGCAAAGAGCATGGAGAATGATTCCACTGGCTTTCTGACTCATCAGTTTTTATATCTGTGAAATGAGATTATACCCAACTAGAGGAACTTAAAGTTCATCCTGGCGCAAAAGTCTTTTGATTGGAAATCAAAAGGCAGGGGAGGGTGGTGAGGTCAAGGATGACTGAATCTTTCAGTACGGTTGAGCACAGGGACCTGGAGGCTTGCTTATGCACATATTGATTGTGTGGTAATGGAATGGATAAAGAGAAAGATCTAGCCGGTATCTGGAAATTTGTGCCTAGAACTCAGAAGAAAAATGAGGAAAAGAAATGTGATTTGGGAGGTCACAAAAGCCACTTACATGGAGAGCCAAATGTTCTGCGATCTCCACCTGATGACTTAGGCAAGACTCTGCTTCCCAGTCCTGTGTCTTCCTAACTTCCCAAGCTGGGACCCAATATGGGCCTGTCCTAACTCTGTCATTTGCAAGTGACAAAAACTCAAGTCAAATTAGAATTAGTGAAAAAGGCGATTGGCTTTTGTCTCTGAAGCACTAGCCAATATAGTGTGAGACACATACATAATTTTAAAAGTGCTTACCAGTAGACACACTTTGGAAAGCTGAAAGGTCAAGGTAAAATTAATTCTAGGAATGTATTTTTTAAATTCAGTATATCCAAAATTATTCTACTTTGAATATGTAATCAGAATGTTAAAATTATTGAGACATTTGAAAATTTGTGTACAAAATCTTCAAAATGTGGTATGCATTTTACATTTCCAGCCATCTCAACTTGGCCTAGCTATATTTTATGTGCTCAATAGCCACATGTGCCAATGACAATCATATTAAACAGTGCAGATCTAAAGCTAGACCCTTGACATAGGGCTGGATCCAGGAACTTAAATAAATAGTATGGTGTGTGCTAAGTTTTGCATTTCTTTGCATGTTGGGCTCATCCTCTCCAAAAAGATACTTTGGGGAAGATGGCCCACATGTAGTTGCAGCTTATGTTGTGCTTACACCTCACAGTCACAGAAGAAAAGACAATGCAATTTCAATAGCTTTGATTGGTCCTGATGATGTCACATGATCCTCCATGAATCAATCACTGAGGCCAGGGGAATGGAACCAACTCTAACCAACATTGTTTTCAATAGCTCAGGCAAACAAAGCTCTGATTGCCCAGGCCTGGCCACATGCTCCTCTCTGGACCTGAGGGTAGAATGAAGAGGCTGTTCAGCCCCACCCGAGCCACACAGAATGAAGGAAGATGGGTCTCCAAAAGAAGGGATGTGGCACACATCACATACATCCATTTAACTGCCACTTGTAGATTTAAACAGCCCAGAAACCCTGGATTCCATGCAATCCCAAGGCAAGGGAGATTAGGAAGGTACTAATAGCTGTCCATCCAGTCACACCTTGATGACCAGTTCTTTTTCTACTTACACCATAATCATAGTATCACAGGAGTGGAATTCCACTGGATTCCCACTTCTGAATCTGCAAGTCCATTTAGCCAGCTTCTCAATGCTTGTGGCCAGATCCCGGATTCCTCTGAGGGTCTAACCTGTTCCTCCATCAGGCCCCTTGGAGCTTAGATTTAATTTTAACCACATGCCCTGTGCTTTTTCCCTTGTAGAGCTCACATTTGCTCTGAAGCTCAGATTTAGTAATCTTAGGCTCAGCTCCTTCATTCAACTATAGTTGCCTTTGAGAGGCAACCTCAGTCCTCATGGTGCTTTCCTGACACTAAACTCTGATAATTTACATAGCAATAAAAAATTACACAGAGATTGTATAGTATAAATAACAACAACATAAGACTATGGAGCCATATTGAAGCTGGGATTCAAATCCCAGCTCTGCCACTTAGTGTCTCTGTGATGTTGTGCCAATTAACCTTCCTATGCTTTTTTTTTTTTTTTTTGTCTTCAACATATGGATAAAAGACAACTTACTTACCAGGCTTGTGGTGTAAGTTAGATCTATAAATATATGCAAAATGCAAACCACTTTATGCACAGAATTTACAGAGCTTTTACATACACAATATTTAATCCACATAACAATCCAGTTGTGTAGGCAAGGTAGGGTTTAGTTAGAGAGCTAGAGAGTGGCACACAGCTGGCAATGTGATGATTCCAATCCAGTGCACCACCCAGTCGGCCCACTGCCTCCTCCACCACCTGGGGGCAGCACAGGGCACAGTGTGAGCACTCAAGTATAATTCATAACTGGCTTTCCGTTTACAGAAGCACATCAATTAAAGAAGAATGAGTATTCCATGGCACAGTGAAACTGATTTTCATGTGGGGCTTGTAGGATCTGTCATTACTAATTCATCACGCTTCAAATATTCAACCCAAATGTTGAATTTTTAAGGGTTGCAGTTTCATAGAATTTGCAGTAAGTGTCACCCTACAGCTACTGAACAATCAATGCCCCAGATCTAAAAGTAACAAGAAAGTGAAAAAGTGTAATGCACATCCTATAACATCACCTACATTTTAACCTAGATAAAACAACACAAAGCAAAAAGAAAAAAACAAAAAACATTGCACCATTTCATGTTACATTGCAGATGACTGTTTTTGCGGCATATTTCTTCCCACTGCATCCCCTTGACTCCCTATTTGTCAGGAAGTGTCTTTGGGACATGGTTATGTGCTAATTGCTGGAGACTGGCAGACTGTTAAAGTAGAATTTTCAAAAGCGTTACTTGTTCTGTTGTTTTGATATCCCCCAAGTCCTATGACTATCCCTCAGAGTTGGATCTTCTTGATGCAAAGCTGCCCCTAACAGCACACTGTCCTCTCCCTACCTTCTTTGCTCCTTCCCGGATCAACAGTCATGATGAACTTGGTTGCCCTTATAGCTGGACAAGCGTGTTTTAGGACTATTTAAAAACATGGGGGATAACAGTAACCTTGTATTTGTTTTACTCCTTGTACTTTTCAAAGAAATTTTTTTAAATATCTGTAATCTCACTTGAAATTTATAACTACCTTGTATAATGAGTAGGGCAGATATTGTACTCATTTCAGAAAAGTGGAACTAGTCTAGAGAGGTTAAGTCAATTGACTAAGATTGCACAGCTGGTCAGCTGAAGGAAGTACTGTATTTCCCAAATCCAATCCCAGAACACATTCTGCTATTGTTAAAGAGGAACCAGGGTCTAATATGCATATTAGCATAACTTAGGTGTGTTCCATACTAAGTAGATTTTGACTGAAAGAGAATAATCAGCTTCAACAGTCTCAATAGCCGCAAAATCATAATCTCCCATTTATCTACAGTGTAGGATGGTAAAGAATAGAACTTTCTGGTTAGAGTGCCACACATATATCTATGATTTGATACTGCTAGAGTGGCTATCCTAATCTTGATCTATGTTAGGATTTCTAGAATGTAAGTTTATTTGAGGGGACAGAATTTGGTTTGCTTCCACATCTTCAGCACCTGGAACAGTCCCAGGCACATAGTAAGTGCTTAATTTGTAGTTTTAAATATTTAAAAATCTTAAATATTTGTTGAAAAAATAAAATCCGGAGAAAAGCAAAGCAGAAAGGAAAAATAGTGAAAATGTGTGCACTGTGGCTTTGCACAATTCAGCTTTCCAGGTTTGCCTCAGTCACTTAATATATAGAGGTATATATCTTCCATTTTATATCTGATTCTGTTCAATAGACAGAACTACAGAACAAATGAGACATTTAGCAGTTGGCATCCCTGCATTTTCCCTGAGCCCTTGTTATTTCCCCAGTATTCATAAATGCCATATTCAAATATTAAAGTCATTCACAGTCATCCAAATCAGAATCTTCAATCCACAAATGGATTTCCTGCCCCGACTCTCACCCCTCAGTCAAGTTAATAGTTTCCAAGTTTTGTCCATCAGAAATGGCTGAGTTTTGAGCAGAATATACTGTGATTTTTTACGTGTGTTTTTCAATGGCCCTATACTTGGATTGTGTCCCATCCCATCATCAAATTGCTCCAGAAATATCACCAAACCCAGGCCATCAGAGGATTTCAACCACTGCGTTGGGGCTAGAGGCTAGAGAGCACTCTAGAGTCTCATGGAGTATACTGGGCAGTTTGTCATCTGATTTCTCCATTGGAAAGCAAGACTGGGTTCCCAGGCACATGCATTTCTTGCCTGAATTATTGAAATAATCACCCAGCTAGCTTATGAAACTTAGTTTCTCCTCCACTTTCTCATTCTGTAATATAGGGCTGACGTCATCACTTCACTTTCTGCTTTCAAACCTTATGGTGCTTCAGTTCCCAAGAATAAAGGACAAAAACTTAGCAGTGCATGTAAAACCCCTGATCTCCGGCCCTAAACTATTTGACTATATTACTGCTCTCTTTCACCAACTATCCATGAACAACACTACCTGCTATAATCAAAGTTAATAAACACTTTCAACAACCCCATCTCAGTTCCTTGATTATTCTGATTTCTCTGCCCTGGAATGTGCATTGCTCCCTCCTGTAATGCCTGAGAATGTTCACTAGTCAGAGCCCAATACTAAAAAATTCACCTGAGCACATATGATGTTGCTGGTAGTATAACTTGCTATAATCTTTCTAGAAAATAATTTGGCAATAGATATCAGGAGACTAAAAGCTCATATTCTCTGGCCCAAATATTTTCCCTATCTATCCTTTCTAAGGAAACAAACTTAAGAAATTATCCCCTGGGAAATCCATTACAGTGTTATTTATAATAGTAAAAAATACAATGACCCAAATTTCCTCCTGTTGAAGAATGTTTAAAACAGCAACTTTCAAACTTTTTTGACCATGATCCTCAATAAGAAATAAAAGGTGTATTATAATCCAATTACACTATTCATTTATATCCACACAGTAAACATACATTTATGTGTGTGTGTCTGTGTGGAGAGATCTGAAGTAAAATCTTCATGAGACAATACATATTGTTAACTACATATAATGCATACAATTTCATTTTTTAAAATGTTGATTACAACCCACTAAACCTACCAATTAATATGTTGTGAGCCACTGTTTGGAAAACAGTAGATTTAAAATATGATCGTAGTATAATGGAATAATACTTAGTTACATAAATATTTCTTAAAATAATAATCGCCCAAGAATATAATAGTTATAGAAAGCAAGGTACTGGTTAGGCAAGTGGCTCACGCCTGTAATCTCAGCACTTTGGGAGGCAGAGGTGGGTGCATCACGAGGTCAGGAGTTCAAGACCAGCCTGGCCAGCATGGTGAAACCCAGTCTCTACTAAAAATACAAAAAATTAGCTAAGCATAGTGGCAGGTGCCTGTAATCCCAGCTACTGGGGAGGCCGAGGCAAGAGAATCGCTTGAACCCCGGAGGCAGAGGCTGCAGTGAGCCAAGATCGCACCACTGCACTCCAGCCCGGGTGACAGAGTGAGACTCCATCTCAAAAACAAAAACAAAAACAACCAGCGAGGTACCAACTGTCTACACAGCGTGATTTTAATATTTTTTGAAGTATATATGCATTGGGATAGTTCTCTGGGGCCATTGCTAAGACAGAGGGTACTCCACTGTGGTCAACAATTTGCCTAATATTTCTATGTCGCAGTTTCTTGCAGGGAGCATAACAGAAGAGCATAGCATTCAGACAGTCCTGGAGTCCTGTGTGCTCTTGGATTAACTGTAAAATGTATTCATTTTACTTGGCTGGGCACAGTGGCTCATGCCTGTAAACCCAGCACTTTGGGAGGCCGGGGCAGGCAGATCACTTAAGTCCAGGAATTTGAGACCATCCTGGGCAACATGGCAAAACCCCACCTCTACAAAAAATACAAAAATTAGCCGGGCACAGTGGCACACGCCTGTAGTCCCAGCTACTTGGGGAGCTGAAGTGGGAGGATCGCTTGAGCCTCGGAGATCAAGGCTGCAGTAAGCCAAGAACGCACCACTGCACTCCAGCCTGGGTGACAAAGTGAGACCCTGTCTCATTTAAAGAAAAATAAAAGTATTCATTTTATTCAATAAACACCATTGGCCATAAATATTATGTGCTCAGAACTAAAAAATGTGAAGGTGTTCCAAATCTATCACATGAAGGCAGACATTTAAACAAATAAATGCACTAGTGTTTCAGATGATGGATGGATGATGTACAGTGGGGGCCAAAAACGAGAAAGAGAGTGCTCATTTCTATTGGGAGATAATGCCTGACCTGAGACTAAATAAACATAGGTTTCCACCAGGAAGTCAAGGAAGAAACGAAGAGCAATCCAGGTAGAAAGAAGGAGCACAGAGAAGGGTGAATCTTCGTGGTAAATTCAGGGCTTAGCAGGCATACTGCCATGATTGGAGCACAAGATAAGGTGGGGATGGGGCTGAAAAGTGAAATCTGGAGAATGGAGTGCAGGCAGAATCACGGAGGGCCTTGTGTGCAATGCCAAGGACTCTGGACACTCTAAGCCACTGATTCTTACAATACACATAGCCTGTGCAGCTTTAAGGACGGCAGGTGCCTAGCTCACCCCCAGTAACACTAATTAGTTGGCCCTTGGTGAGATTTGCCATGTTTTATTTTTTTACTCAACCTCTTTGTGTAGGCAGTGAGGGGCCACTTAAGGAATGCAATAAGCAGAGGTGTAGTATCACAGTTTCAATCAGCTACAGTGTGGAGAATGGATTGGAGGTATACAAGATTGAAAGCAAGAGATCCAACTAAAGAGACCATCATGGTGGCCCAAGTGAATAAGGGCAAAAACACAGGCTAGAAAAAATGCAGGTGGAATACAGAGGAGAGGAAGGATATTGAAATGTCAAGTACACAGTCCAGACTTACTATAGAGGCAGGGATGGTGTGAAAGCGTGGGTTGGATCATGGGGTTGAAACTCCCATGATCTCCTGCATCCCTCCTAAATGCACAGGTAAAATAAAAACAGATATTTTCTGTGCTAAAAGAATCACAGGAAAAATCCCCCGCCTTCCCTTCCTCCATCCTCCACACTTTCCAATAACTTGTTGCCTCTAAGTAGTTCTTCTTTCTGAAGTCATAATTAGTGTCTGGGGGCAAAGAAAGGAGACATAGAGGTGGAAAGGAATTAAGAATGACTGCCTTTCCAACACTTCAGGGAAAGTAATACTTACCTCAAGGAGTGAGAAAAAATAAGATAATGGATGGATTGTGTCTGGCACATGGTAGGCTCTCAAAAAATCACTTCCTTTTCCTGGAAGGGAGTGACTGAAGCCCAAGCCCTCCCCTTGCCTGAGCAAAAATTTCTACCCAGCTCTGTTTTCCTCTCAAACATATTTATAAGTTTTCTAGTGCAAGACTAAAATGACAAGATTTCACTTTTTCTCAGACAAGATTTTTTTTTTTTAATCCTATGGAATAAAGTCAGAACTGGATGAAGGATTTTCCCCTTTCTGCTGTGTTCCATCAATTGAGAAGAAACTCTCTTTCCTGATAATCTTCTCTGAAATGTAATATTTTTTTTCATCCTTATACTCAATGGGGGAAAAAAAGTACTAGCAGCAACACATCTGAAGATTCCTTGTACCCATCTAAAAGTTAACTCCTCTTTAGTGCTTTGCAAGTAAGCAAAAACACTACACTTCAAAAAAAAAAGCAAGCAAGCAAGCTGCAGAGGACTCTATGAAAGCTGTTCTTTTTACAGAAGTGTGGTCACAAATCAATGCATTGTTAATGAAGAGTTTCCTCTATAAAACTCTAGAGTTATGTGGAGACTCAAGACTTGCTTATGACTTCTCGCTGTGGGGAGGTGTGGGCTGAGTTTACACAATGGGGGCTTTCAGCCCCATTTACTTCAGAAGAGCTTTGCCCAAGAAGCCTGATGAGAGAATTGCCCTTTTCCCCTCCTTTCCAAAATGTCAGCCCGGATTGTTTCAAGAACTAGGGAGAGCAGTGTACTGATCTAAATCATTGAAATATTCCTTGAAAATTTAAAATTACCAGAAATGCACCGTTTCTTTTTCTTCTGAAAGCACAAACATTAGAAAATACTATATAGCAATTAGGAGCCAGGTTGCCTATATTTGAATCCAGGTCCCAGGTCTTCCCATATAAACTTAGGCTAGTTACTTATCACTTGTACCTCGGTGTTATTATCTGCAAAATGGGATAGTGTTTGTACCTATCTCATACAGTGGTTGTGAGGATTAAAATGATTTAATAGATGTAAAATGCTTAGAGCAGCACCTGACACATAGTTTCCTGTTACTCGATACTATTCAGAAGAGGAGAGCTCCAAGCTGGATCCACCCATGAAGCTGCTGGAAACAAGTCTGCTTAATAACAGATATTGTAAATACTGGACCACAGGCCACACAGACCCACAGGAATGTATAATTAAGCAGGATTTAACTTAAAAAAATTCATTGCCGACATATACAATCCAAGAGAGATACAAATAAGCATTTCTGGCTTCTCTTGAAGATTCAAGAGACCTGGCCATCCTGGACCCAAGTCCTACTGACCACTCTTGGTGGGAGCTGAGTAGCTGCTAACCTCTTTAGGCAGGGCATAAATCTCCAAGTCACCATGCTCCCCATCTGGCCCAGTTCTCTCATTTACTTTACCTTCACAGGCATTTCAGGTTGTGATCTCTATACTAAAGGGATTGGGGCTCAGAAATCACAGCCTCGCCTCTACTTACATCATAATACAGGATCAGCACTGTGAAGTTGGAGGGGTGAACACACCTTGATCTCTGGATGACTGAGAGAGGGGAGGTGAAGAAAAGAGTTACAACCTGGTTGTATGTGAGACTCAGGTCTTCTCTAATCTCTCCAGTAGAACTTCCGTTTTTCTCCTTATAAAATTCAAATACATGACTTAAAAAGTAAACCAGTAACAGCTACAATTTATCTATACCATTTTATATACATTATCTAATGGTATCCTCAGACCTATGATGTAGCAATTATAATCTCCATGTTATATCCCCAGAGAGGCTAAACAGCTTGCCTCAAGTCAGTAGGAAGTGACGGAGCTGGGACTCAAGTGCAGGCCCAGGGTAGCAAAAGGCATCCTTCTACGTAGAATTTCCTCCAAATTCACCATGTCTTCAAAGACCTCTGTGTTCCCCTCAAAACTTCTCGCCTACGGGAATTTCCTCAAACGCATCCTCCCCTAGCAATAGCTCTGACTGTAGAGCTGAAGGTGGTAAGGGAACTAGTGTTTTACACAAATTGCAAATGCCCTAGGAAAGTGATGAGAAAGAATTAAACGGCTGTGAGACCCCCCCGAGTGTGCAGAAATTAAGAGGAGAAAAACTCAAAAAGCTTGACCGCATGGAAAAAATTATTCTAATAGTCTTATAAGTCAGAGATGGTAATTTTATTAAATAATTTTTTTAATGGGCAAAGAATGACTAGAAAGAATAAAGAACTCTTGTCTATGCCAGGCCAAATTTGAGGCAGTACCAAGACCTTTACTATTTATTGGCTATCTTAATGGAAGGACAGTATATGGCAACAGATGAGCAATGCCCTTGGCTCTACATCTTACAAGCTTTATGACCTTGAGCAAGGTACTTAACCCATGAAAGCCTGTTCCTTCATCTGTAAAATTAGCATAATACAGTACTAAAATTGAAAGTGTTGAGGATTCTATGGGATATACACAAAGTGTCCAGTATGCTGTCTAGCATACAGTAGGTGCTCTATAAATGCTGATGTTCTCCCACCCTCTTAATTATCCTCAGCGATTTGAAATTGATAGTAATCAGAAGATAAGTGTGTTATTTTGGAACAAAATGTGAGGAAAAGGGAAATAGGAGAAAGTATTTGGGTAGACAATAATTACCGAGGCTTCTCCTTTCTCTTAAACAAAAAAATGTCCCAAATTGCTATTTTATATGCAGTAGCACTCAAATAGTACTTCTGGCAAAAAGAGTTGAAATACTGAGTAGGTGTAAATGACATAGCTATTGCCTAGAAATTTAAAGCTTCTGAACTACTACGAATAATGGCAAATATCAAGTGTTTACTATCACCAGACACCATGATATTCATCTTATGTGCATTATTTCATTTAGTACTCACAATCTCAAAGATAACTATTATATTGTTTCTATTTTGTAGATGAAACTGAGCCTTAGAGAATTTTGTAGTTTGTCCAATGTAATGGACAACTGAAGCTCATTCATATATATATATATACACACACACATACATATATATATATATATAGGCATACAATCTTGTCCAAGCCTCAAATGCAAAACTGCTGCAAATCTGATAAACTGAGGGAGCAACTGATGGATGATAGAGAAATATGGCTTCAATGTAAGTTATAATAAGCTAAATTATCTATTCTAATCTGACCTCCTAAAATTAATCAGGTATCAACTGACCTCACTGTGTTAAATACATAGTAGGCACTATACTTATTGCTTTGTTTAATAAACTTGTCTCTATCATTAATGTCTTATGATTAAGTCAGAATTTTGTGCCTTGCCTTTACCTAAAATAGGGAAATAATACCTTCTTCACAAGGAAGCTGTGAGGAAAAGCTATAAATAGCTGTATACACATAGAATTTACAAGTCAACTTTTCTCTGAATTGCATTTATTGTCTCAGCATTTTTTCTGTGAAGTTGAATATCATCTTACTTAACACAAGTGATTTGTCCAAAAGAGGGCTATTTGAAGGCAAAACGACGAGGATCCCAGATCTTTCTTTTTAGACATTGGTTCAGTCAGACAGAAATATCTACTGAGAAAAGCAACTGACAGATTACTGAATAGTCTGGGAAAAATGTTTAACCACCTCAGTTTCTGAACTTGTAAAATATGAGTGATGATAGCGTCCATGTAGAAGTGTGATAAAATTAAATAAATTAGTACTTGAAATGCATTTTTTCATGTACTGCCATGTAATAAGCATAACAGATATTTTCACACAAAACCCTTCATAATTACTTAAGATTCTTCCAAACCACTGCATTAAGAATGTTATCTCCACAGCTTTCCCAAACAATACTGCATCTCTAATATAACATCAAATGCCCCCAAGGAACTGGCACAATCATTTGCCACATGAGTAAATGACTCTGATGTGGCCTTGCTTTGGGAATATTCTAATATTTGACTGCTACTTTTAACACTGAAGTTAAGAGACCAAATCATATATTTTCAGTTTCATGAATTTAGCGCATCCTTCAAGCACTTTCTCTGAATACAGCAACGTGTTAAGTGTTGTGACCACAACCAAGATATAGAAGTAGTAGTCCCATATGCTTGAACTTGCATAAACATCCACTCATATACTTACACGACTTGCAACTACTTGCTCACAGATGTGGATCCCTCCTGCAATATGGACTTTTTGAGAATATGGCTGCAGTTACTTCTCTGTTTTTACCTTCAACACCCAGAACAATGTTTAGCACATAATTAAGGATCAAAAATGATTGTGGAATAACTCATTTTATAGTCCAGCAGGAGGGATCAATCATGTACACAAATACAGAAATATAATACAAACTGTGGAAATTCCATTACAGGTAGTAAACGCTATACCTCTTTAGAGAGGACAGTCACTTCTCATTAGACTGAAAAAGAGAATTTATAGAGGACAATGTATTTGAATTGGACTTGTGGTACCAGAAGATTTGGGTGGAGATTATAGCTGGAAGCTGTAGCGGGGGGAAAAATGGAAACAAAAAGAAAAAAATTTACTTCAAGGGAAGGTGAACAGGTCTGGAGCAAAGTTTGCATGTAGAGGAGGCGCAGACGTTAAGAATGAAAGAGGCAGTGAACTATTTGTGGAAGAAACTGAGTAAGTCAAGGCAAGGAGTAACAATTTTATTTAATACACAATTGAGAATCCTTAAAGCTTTCAAATAGTAGGGTACTATGAGATTTGTTTAACTGATGATTATTTCAAAAAGTAATGATTCAGGACTTCCGGTTCCAGCCAAGATGGGATAGGCCCATTACAAACTCCATTTTAAGACGGTCTAGCCTCTTAAAATTAACACAAAATTGACATAACACAACAAGCGAGCATGGGAAGACCCTAAACCGTAGAGAGGCGGCAGACTTCCTGAGGAAGCTGGGATTCCCCCAGTGGGGAGCTGAGCCACTACTTGCACTTAGCATTAACAAGGTGGAAAGAGGTGGTGTAAGGCAGGGCAGGTGACACTGTTTCCTCCTTCCTCTGGTTTCTGCCAATGGGGAGAAACCCTTCACCCTTCACCTACCATCAATAAGCCCAAATGAAGGGGCACTCCACTTCCCTTCCCTGCTCCACTGGTGTCAGCAGGGAATCAGGACATTGGGTTTCTACCCTTACCCTATGACAACAAGTGGTGTGGTGTCACCAGGGCCCAGTTTGTATTTCCTCTTAGGAGCAACAATGTGGTGCAACTTGGTGCTCCACTTTCACCAAGAAGGTATAAGCAGAGCCAAAGGAGAAGCCATCCTTCTACTGTGTTCATCTGCACTGAGGCAGTATAAACATTCCACTTCTGAGGGGGTGCTGTCAGTGAGACCCAATGGTAGACTCAACATGTACAGATCCAGAGTCCCATAATATCCGAAGTGTCAAAGAGAAAATAGTCACTCATCCCAAGAACTAGAAAAATCACAACTTCAGTGAGAAAGGACAATCCACATATGCCAACATCAAGATGAATCAGATGTTGAAAGTATCTGACAAGATATTTAATGCAGCCATAAAGTGCTTCAATTATAAATTCTCTTAAAACAAACAGAAAATTTACAAAATGTCAGTAAATAAATAGAAATGAAGTAATACATGCTACTATATATGGATAAATGTAAAAATATTATGCTAAGTGAAATAAGCCACACACACACATAAAAACAAAACCTCACATATTATATGATACAATTTATAAGACAGGTCCAGAATAGGCAAATCTACAGAGACAGAAAGTAGGTTAGTAGTTTCTGAGGCTAAAGGTGGCATGGAATGAGGACTGTCTGTCAGTGGGTACAGTTTTCTTTTTGGGGTATTGAAAATGTTCAAATATTAAACTGTGGTGATGCTTCTACAACTCTGCATACATATCAAAAACTACTGAAATGTATACTGTATACGAATTAACTTTATGGTATGTAAACTATATTTCAGTATAATTTAAGTTAATAGTCATATTTTATTTAAAAAAGGAATGTCATCAAACTAAAAAGTCCAGTAACTGAAATAATACCTTGCTGCCTGGGTTCAACAGTAGAATGGAAAAAACAGAGGAAAGAATCAGCAAATTTGAAGTCAGCTCAACAGAATTTACACGATCTCAATAACAGAGATATAACAGACTGAAAAAAAATAAACAGGGATAATAACAAAAGATCCATCATTGGAGTCTGAGGAAAGATATGAGAGAGTATTTTAAAAGGTAATGGCTGAACACTTCCCAAATTTTTCAGCTGCTGAAAGAAAAGAATTGTCAACCATGATTATGATATCCAGTGAGGGATGAAAGGGAAACAGAGACATTCTCAGACAAACAAAAACTAATAGAATTTGTTGCCAGTATAACTACTTTTAAAGATCGGCTGAAGGGTTTTCTTCAAAGGAAATGACAGAAAAAGAAATCTCAGACAATCAGGAAGGAAGGAAGAACAAAATAAACCCAGACGTATGGATGCATACACTGGACTTCTCCTCATCAGTTTTAAAAATCATCCCTGATCATTAAAACAAAAATTATACAACATCTTATACTAAAGAAAAAGATATTTAAAATAGCGAAAGAAAAGGGATGTAAATGGAATTAAGTTTCCACACATCAAAGTGGTAAAACATTGATACAAATAGACTGGGGTATATTATGTGTCCATGTTTTAATACCTAGAACAAACACTAAAAATACATATGTATATACACAAAAGCAATATACTAAAAACACTATAAATAAATCAAGATGGAATCCTACAAGTTATTCAAGTAACCCACAAGAAGGCAAGAAAAGCAAAATGGATAATGAGAAACTGAGGGAGAAAAACAGATCATGCTCTGATTAAAAAGACAATAAGGAAATAATACAAACAATTTTATGCTCATAAAATTGACAGCCTAGAAAAAAATCACAAACCACAAACTAGATGAAATAGTCAACCTTAATAGTCCTATAACCACTAAAGAAATGGTATTAGTCATTTAAAACCTGAAATAGAAATCTCCAAGCACAGATTTCACTCAAGATTTCCATAAACACACACACAAAAATCCTCATCAAAATATTAACAAATCAAATCCAGCAATGTTTAAAAAGAATTATACACCATGACCAAATGGGATTTATTCCAGGTATGCCAGGCTGCTTCAACATTCAAACATCAAACAATGTAACCCAGCACATAAACACACCAGAGAAAAAAAATAATAATTATGTAAATAAATGCAGAAAAAAACATTTAACAAAATTCGACACCCATTCATGACTAAAACTCTCAGAAAACCAATAGAGGGAAACTTCCTCAACTGATAAAAAACATCTACCCAAACCTACACCTAACATCATATTTAATGGTAAAAGAATGAATGCTTTCCCCCTAAGATTGGAAAAAGGGAACATCACTTTTATCTAGCATAGTACTGTTAAGTTCTGGTCATTGCAAGATGGTAAGAAAAAGAAATAAAAGGCACACAGTTTGAAGGGGAAGAAATAAAACTACACCTATTTTCAAATGACATGATATTGTATGTAGAAAATCCCAAGTAATCTATAAAGAAGTTTAAAAAAAAAACCTCAGAAGACATAAATCAGCAAGGTTGCAAAATACAAAACCAACCACATAGAATCCAATCATTTAATCCAATCATAAAACCAACATTTAAAAAACAGAATCATTTACAATTGCTTCAAAAAATTAAATACTTACGTGTAAGTCCAATAAAACATGTATCATATCTGTGTCATAAAAGTTATAAAATGCGAATGAAATAAAATTAAAGAAGACTTAAATGAAGAGACATTGTGTTCATGGCTAAGAAAACTCAACATAGTAAAGATGTCAATTCTTCTCAAAATGGATTCTATAGCCTTCAATGTAATTCACATATGAAAATGGCAAGGTGTTTTGTAGACACAGACCACCTTATTTCTAAAATTTACAAAGGCACAGACCTAGAATAGTTAATGTAACTTTGAAAAAAAAAGAACCAAGTGGGAGAAACCACTCCACCAGATTTTGTTAAGGCTTACTAAATTGCTACAGTTATCACCACAGTATTGATGGAGGGGCTGACACACACACACACACACACAAATCAATGGAACAGCTAGAAGACTCTGAAAGAGATTCACACAAATATGTCTAAGTGATTTTTTACAAAGGTGCAAAAGCAATTCACTGAAGGAAGGACAGGCTTCAACAAATGTTACTGGAGCAACTGGACATCCGTAGACAAAAATATAAACCTCAACCTAAACCTTATTATTTTATAAATTAACTAAAAATGAATCACAGAATTAAATGTAAAACTCTAAAATTTTTATGAAAAAAAACAAAAAATCTTCAGAACCCAGGCAGGTCTAGGCAAAAATTTAGACTTGACATCAGATGTACAACCCAAAAAAGGAAAAATTAAATTGCACCTCATCAAAATTTAAAACTTTTGCTTTATGAAAAACTGAAGAGAATGAAAAAGCTATAAACTGGGAGAAAATTTTTGCAAACAATATATTCAATAAAGGATTTGTATCTAGAATATGTAAAAACCTCTCAAAACTCAACAGTAAAAAAAAAAGCGTTCTAGAAAATGGGCAAAAGACACAAGCAGATATTTATTGAAGAGGGTGTAGAGATGACAAGCACATGAAAAGATGTGCTTAGCCATCAAGGAAGTGTGAATTTAAACCATTATCACAAATTTCCCATGTTCTCACTCACAGGAGTCAAAATGAGTTAAAAATTAACACAATTGTTCTCATAAAGATAGAAAGTAGAACGATGATGATCAGATGATGATCAGAGGAAGGGTGGCAGGTAGTGGGGGAAAGTGGGAATGGTTTAGGTGCAAAAATATAGTTAGAATGAATAAGATCTAGTATTTGATAGCATAACAGGTTGTCTATAGTCAACAAAAATTTACTGTTATCTTTTTAAATAACTAAAAGAGTAAAATTGGAATGTTCTTAACACAAAGAAATAATAAATGCTTGAGGTGATGGATACCCCAATTATCCCAATGTATCATACATTGTGTGCTTGTATCAAAACATCACATGTACTCCACAAATATATATAACTATTATGTACCAATAATAACTTAATAAAAGTTTTTAAAACCACCATAAGATACGATATCACTACATACCTATCAAAATGGCTACATGTAAATTTTTGATAATATCAAATGCTGTCAAGGATTCAGGGAAACTGGGTCACTCAGACTGCTGAAAGAATTGTAAAATTATATGGCCACCCCGGAAAATAGTATGTCATTTTCTTTCAAAACTAAACATGTACTTCCCACATGCAACCCAGAAACTGCACTCCTGGACATTTATCCCAGAAAAATGAAAACTTATGTTCACACACAAACCTATGCACACATTTATAGCAGATTTATTCCTGATAGCCAAAAACTAGAAACAACGCAAATATCCTTCATATCATCCAATGGGTAAAATAAACCGTGCTACCTCTTCTGTACCATGGGAAACTACGCGGCAATAAAATGGAATGGATTATTGATACATGCTACAACTTGAATGGATCTCAAAGAAATTATTCTGAGCAAAAAAATTTAAAAAAGCAAAAGCCAGTCCTCATACTGCATTCCACTTATATAGCATTCTCAAAATAACAAAATTACAGAGATGAAGAACAGACAGTGATTGGTAGGAATTAGGGACTTGGGAAGGAGGGTGGTGGCTATGACTATGAAAGGGTAGCATAAGGAATCCTATATCCTGACTGTGGTGTTGGTCACATGAAATGTACATGACATTATTGAAAGCTGAAACCCTAGGAACAGAAATCAGGTCAGTGATTGCTAGAGAGTGGTTGGGGAGAGTGGTTTAATTACAAGGTAAGGAGGGGATTTTTGAGGGTGATGGAAATATTCTGTATCTTGATTGTAGTGGCTGTTACATTCATCATACATCGCACACACATCACTTTAAAATGGTGAATTTTACTGTATGCAAAATATGCCTCAATAAACAACAAAAAAAATCTGTTTGTAAATAAATGAATGTAAATACTCCAAAATGTTAAGAGTGGCATTCTGTAGGTGGGAGTATATTACTTGTTGATTTTTAAATCTTTTTTCAGTATTCTGTATTACTTTTTAAATAAATAAAAACTAATAAAAGTTTTAAAAAAATCTACACGTGTGATAAACCTGTATATAAATAAATGTATACACACGAGTGCATGTACAAGTGTGGAAATCTGAATATGGCTGATAAATTATAACCATGTCAACTTGTGATACTGCACAATAATTATGCAAGATGTTACCATTGGGAGAAATAGGTAAAAGGTATATGACTTCTCTATTATTTCTTACAACTGCATGTAAAAGTATAATTATCTCAAAATAAAAAGTTAAAACAAAGGAATGATCCAGTACACATCAAGAGCTACAATCATGCTCATAACTCGACTTAGCAATTTCAATTCAGAAATCAGCATTTATCTACTCAACACCCACATGAGGCACCGTGGTAGGTGATGGAGATTCAGCGGTGAAAAAGGCAAGCATAGAGACTGTCTTCATGAACTTTCACTCTAGGAAATGGGAAAATAGCTCAATGTATGAAGAAGGTCATTAATCTTCAGTCATATGGGTAAGAACTGGAATCAAACTAAATTTAAGAGAAAGATTAAGTCATTTTTGGAATAGCATGTGCCTGTTAAAATAATTATAAATATTATTTAACAGGATGGAGAAAATCTTGTAACATTAAAGAGAATACTAAGTTTTAAAATGACATACTCGTTAGTATTGATAATTAATGACAACTTATTTTATATGAATAAAATTTTATTGAATTTTAGATAATTAGAAAGAATAAAGAAATGCAAGATAAATGCTTTCTAAACAGCATCTGATAGCATCATCTTTTCAGTGTCATGGTATTTTCACTTTTCTTTATAAAAAGTATAGACATTCATTTATTTAAATTTTTACAAAGTAAGAACCATCAAATGGAAAAAAAAATAAGTAATGCTAAAGTAAATTCAGCTTTTTATCAATACTGAAATGGTTGGCAATGGTTAGGTTCTGAGTGTAGCCTTCTTGGAAAAACAGTGTTTGCAGCAGCTGTTGGTTTCCATTCATTCACATAACTGAAAAAAATGTCAGGAAGCCACTCCCTGTGAAGACTACGCTTGCAGGAGAAGAGAGCAAAAAGTATGGTGGTAAGAGGGAGTAAGAGAACACATCCAGAAAGAAAAGACACTCTTATTGAGACATGGGATGAGTATCATAAGTAATCTAGGAAACAAATCTGAGAAGAAATTTGTGGGTTGCTTAAGTGTGGTTAAGGCAAGACAGTCACTAATGCAAGTATGGCCAGATCTACATAGCACAAAATAAAGTGGGGGAGTTTGTAAATTAATCTGGTGAACCGCAAGGCCAGCCAAGCCAGGTAGTAACCACAAAAGTAATCTCTTTACAGTGATGTAAAATGCATCTGGGCAACACTGCAACCCTGAGCTGACACAAATGTAGGGTAGACACTTCCAGGAGCACACCAGAAGATAACACCTTTAGTCTCAGTCTTACCTCTTTTGCAAAAAGCATTATTTTGAAAAACGAAACAGAACAAAAAAACGTCTGCCCTCCCTGACAAGTAAGTTAACTTCTACTTGTCAAATAAGGAGAAAGTTACATACCTCAGTACAAAAGGCATCAGGTGCTGCCCTCATTAATAGTAACCTACTGTAATAGCAAGGGAGATCTGAACAACCTTGCTCTGAGAGGCTGCCCAGCAAGGCTACAACCCCTTAGCCCTACCTTCCTGCCCACACAACCTAGCTCGGTCATGATATGATGGACCTCTATGAGCTCACTAAATACAACCATTGAACAAGGTATTATACAACAGTCTTTTCTTTCTTAGCCCAATGCCTCTCATGTATTTAAAAAAAAAAAAAAGCCTTTTATAAAAAAATATTTTTCCAGGAAAAAATAAACAGTAATTGCCATGGACCTGTAACAGATCCTAGAATAACACAGACAGGCAAGAATCTGTCAATATAGCAATATTCCACATATGAAATTCATGGTTCAGGAAGAGATAAATAAATAAATATGAAGGGGCTTCTCAAAGACGTTTCCTTTGTCTTCCCCCATTTCTTACTGAATTTTGCTCATGTAAAAAGTTTTGATTATATGATAGAAGAGTCAGCCCTGTTGGGACCAATATTAACCATTTATACCATTAAGCCCTCTATATAACGAGGGAATTGGGAGAGACGGAACATATCACAGGGTTGCTTGTTATTTTCTTAAAGACACCTACCTTTTAAAATAATTTCAATATTTAAACTCCATCTGGCACTTTAATCTCTTAAAAATTATTAAGTTAGGCATGAAGAACAAGCCCATCTGGGCGGCAGTTTGGATTTTAAGTACTATTCTGCTCTTGTATCTTTTTCCTTGGCTTGGCACATCTTTGAGATCCAGCAGAATCCCAGGACATCTTTGGTGGGGAAGCAAGTCTTCATGATGGAGCATTTCAGTCCATTTTACACATCTTAGTGGCCAAGTAACAGCACTGCCTTCTTCTTTGTGCATTTTACTAATATAATTATAAGGAAGTGTTTCTTTCCCAGCACTCCCCACCCCACCCTCCCCCTTGTATGAGGGCATTCCATTTATTCATTTCTGAACACAACATTTCCTCATGTCCTATACCAAGGACCCGGCCCGACTCTGGGCTGGTACCATGACAGGTACTGCACCAATTCGTTCCAGTGTTGCGTGGCTGATGGTGTAGGAATGAGTGTGTGGAGGCCGAGGCTTCCTACTGACTGAGCCATTGCTCCTGGACATCACCTGTGGTGATGACCCTCTGTTGGCTGTCACTACCAGAGTCTTATGTTGACCCGGGACCAGATGGGTCCCATTAGCATAAATGGATGGTATGTTGGCATTGCCTGAGTGGAAAGAGAAAGATTGGCCCAAGTCACTGAAGTGGCTGACTGACTCTGTGTTTCTATGAACTTTTGGATTGTTGCTCCAGTATCGACTGTTGTAGGCATTGGAAGAGGTTAGTGTGTTGTTGTCCGAGGAGGAAATCTCAGTGTGAAATGCTTTGGCAGAAGAACACTTGGGTGGAAGATCATCCTCTCTGAAAGGAACAAAATAAAGTCGTTGTTAGGATTTACTTCAAGTTAATCCTATCCTCCTACCCTGGAATCTTTCTTTTCATGTCAGGGCTTATACATCCAAAAAACAAATCCAGGAGAGACTACTCTATCGTGAAAGCAGGCATGGCAACCCTGGATGGCCTCAGCTTTGGTATCCATTCCCTTTGAGACAACGGTCAAGAAAATCTCTCCTCAGCTTCTCAGTCTCCAACAGTAGAAAAGGAAATCTCAGATCTCTCAGAGAATGTCTCTTCCAATACAACTTTTAAACATATATGTAAATAACATTCACATAAATATGTTTATATATCATATAGTAAATATATAACAAATCTTGCTTTATATATATAGTAAATATTTAGTATCTTGCTTTATATATATAGTATTCATATATAGTAAATATTTATTCACACATAAATATTTACTGTAAGTAGGAAATTAGTCCATGAAGAAATCTACTAAACTAGGTGCCATAAAATAGCTGGGAAATCAAACTATAGGTATGCAGAACTTAAAGAAATAATCAGAGTTGGCCTGATTGTATTACCCTTTGGAGTTTGAGAAATCACTGTGGGGTGCTGATGAGAGGTTTTCCTCAGTAATCTTATCCTGGGGTAGACTCTATCCCTGCATATGGCCCAAACGCTTAAGAATTACAACAGTCTAAAAGAAGTCATTTATTTAATTTAAGATGCTAACCAATTCATTTAACATTTATTGGGTACACTTTACAATATGTTTCATGTAAAAAAGACACAAATCCTACACCTAAGAAACCTATAGTCAATGAGGGTAGTAATCAGTGCAAGAATGTTTACGAGTCTGAAAGGTTAGGCAAGGGGCTAAAGACAACTTATGTGAGGAGGTGATGCCTGGCCTAATCTAGAATCAGATCAAGGAATTTAGTAAAGAGATGGATCAAATGAAAAGCATGGTCCAGGAAGAGAGCAGAGGCTTGAGCAAAAGCCCTGAGCAATGGGAAAATGCAGGACAGACTGGAAGGCAAAGTGAGCTGAGAGTGATGAGAGAGAAGATACGCAGGCAAGAATCAGATCCTGTAAGGCTGTGGTATGTCTCACTATGGAGACTGGAGTCATTACAGCATTTTCAATAAAGATATGCCATGATGAAATCTGAGACTGAGCCCGAACCCTCAAATCTCCCCAGTATGACTAGAGTCACTTTTCTTTAAAGATGATGTTGGCATTGTTTTCTTAAGATGTTCATATTCTTGTCTGAACTACCTTTCTGAGCCATAGTGCTGTGGTCTGACTGTGTACAGGCACTGGTATGCTCTTACGGAGTTCCTTCTTGCTTTATGTTCACATCTATTATAAATGTCAATAGTAAACACGTTTTAGACACTACCTTTCCCATTGTGGCAGCCACCTAACCCTGCCTACCCTGGAGACACGGAAGATAAGGAGAACTCTTCATTTGTATCCTCCTAGTTGGGCACATGCTGGACCTTTCCCTCCTTCATGATCCAGTGAATAAAGCTGAGTAGTACCATGAAGAAAAGTGATATACAAGAAAATACCATTTAGCCACTTTAATAGTCTCGGCCATCAGAGTTTTATGATTAGTAGATATATCTTAACTGACACAAATGAATAGAAGTACACAATGGCTATGCAGGACAAATTTTAAAAATCTGACATACAAACCTTATTTCATTAGGAATTTCTTCTTCTTCCTCCTCTTTATTTTTGCTTCTCCAGTAAAAGAATGCCCCTAAAATTAGTGCAATGCAAAAAATGATAATAACTGCACCAGTGCCAATGGCTCCAGCTATTAGTCCAATGTTCCTGGGCTGGGCTGCAAAATATATTTAAGATATATTTAAAGAAAAGAGAAAGAGAGAAATAGCATATACCCATGCAACTGTAATAAGCACATAAGCTTACTAAATAATCTGCTTAAAACGTATAAAACTCTCTAAAATCTTTCATCTATATAAAGTT
Organism: Homo sapiens; assembly: GCF_000001405.40. Lineage (NCBI taxonomy): Eukaryota > Metazoa > Chordata > Mammalia > Primates > Hominidae > Homo > Homo sapiens. Next base: position 118,904,945 of record NC_000003.12, read on the forward strand.
AAACCTCAATTAACTTTCTATATTGTCAGTGGCTAGGACTAACACATAGTAGGCTCTGAACATATTTTGAATGAATAAACAATTAAATGACTTGCACATTTTAGGAGAACAATACCCACATTAGGTAACAGACAGCACCAATCTAACTTGCCTGGTCTACCCTACATGAATGCTGGAAACTAGGGGATATCCTTCTACCTCAACCCAGCCAGATCACTCCCTTTTGCAACTGGAATTCAAATATCCCAGAATTCTCAACTAAAGAGAAGTTTTCTACACTGCCATTTATAACCTAGACACCCCAAAATTTTGCAGATAAAAGAAACAAGGAAAAAACACAAGAAAGTCTTACTATACTCATAAGATTATTACCATTTTTATAATGTCTATAGCATTATACAATAAGAAACTATCCAACTTTATTGATCCTGAGGAGAAAGATATTTTTTCATAAAGATTATCATATTGCTGAGGCTGGAAAGTATACTAAAACATTTATAAACAATTTTCAATAATAATTAAAACCAAAACAATTTCTATTTAATCTTCAGATAACCTTAAGACAATTCAGCAGAACCCTTCATTTTCTGGTATAACAAAGATCTTAGAGTTTCAGACCCATGGTTGACATCAGAATTTCCATATGCTTACGTGAAATAACCTGGAGATCCAGAAGACAGGTGCTGGTTCCAATAGCATTAGAAGCCACGCACTGGTACAAACCTGAAGACAGGGCACTGATGTTCCGGATGGTGACTGTTCCCTGGACCTGGTCTGTCACAAAAATAATAACCGAGTGAGGATTTGGCGGGACTAATAGCAAAACCAAAGAAATCAGCGGAAGACCATAAAAACAGACGAACACTGGAGAGCTATCAATAAATTTCTTTTTTGTGGGGGTAGGGTGAGAAATTATTGGTTCATGAATGTTAAAGACTAAAACTACTATATCACTTTAAAGACCTGGAACTTTGGAGCGCTGTCCTAAATCAGAACAATCTTAAAACTGAATCTGCAGGTAAGCATGTAAAGTCCTAAATGTTAGTAGACTTCCCTGAGGAAATGGTAGCTAATACTTATCCTAGGGAATTTAAGGTAACACCAAATTCTAGTTCTGAGGAACTGCAATAACATAAAGATCATGTTAAACTTATAATAACTTTAACTTCATACCTGATGAAGAAAATATCAAATCTGTGCTCTAAGGTATAGACTGTTACTCCCTAACAACAACAATTACAGTTGTTTGTGTTAGCTCAGATCCTCCAAGAAGCAGACACCAAGACAAGTGTGAGGTTGCCTGGAGGAAATACCAGTAAAGGAAATGTGAGAGGAAGCTGCAGAAGGCAGGGAGAGCCTCAGACTTCGGTGTAGATCTCACCACTCACTGTCAAGGGGACAGGGAAGCAAGGAAGATTGGGTAGGAAGAGTCTCAGGCTGCAACACAGTTTTATGGAAGTGTCCACCAGGCAGATGGGGAGTCCCTGAGCCAAAGTCACCTGTTAAGGGAGTCCCATGCTTTGCAGAAATAGGCCTGCATTAGGCCCTAACCCTAACCCTAATTCCTCATCACTGGCTGGGAGCAGCCCAGGGGAAGCTTGGTCTTGGTGCAAAGCAGTGGTGGATCTACAGGGGAAGCAGCATGGCTTTCAGTCAATTATGTTCCCCACATCAGGAGTTTGAACAACAAATTTTCAAGGCCACTGCACTGGTATTGCCAAGAAATGCTTCAATAGTTCACATTTTAGTAATTCATCAACATTAGCATAGTTTGATTATTTATTCCTATAAAATACAAATGACTTACAGGAATAACTTTAAAAAGTTAATAGTTATTAGTATGTTCCAGGCATTGGGTAAGCTTTTATATGTATTATTTCAATCTTTACAATTACCCTGAGGTATTTTTATTATTAATCTCATTGAACAGTCAAGGAGACTGAAGCTTTAGATGTTTAATAAGATTACACAGCTGGTTGTTAGGAAATTCAATTGGATGAAGGGGCTGTCTCACCTCTAAGCTCTAGGCTTCACTGCCCTCCTTATGCAGGAAAGAGAATACATTCTGTCATCTCAACCATTCAAAATAGCTGCAAATTTAGAAGTAAATGGAAAAGCCTCCTAACAGGACAAGTAAAAAAATATTCTGACACAAAGTCCAAGTATGCCTGGGGCAACACCTAGAGCTATCCCCATCCTGGGTTACTTATTTTTACATGGAACTAAGATTTAGTTAACTGGTTTCTGCTGGCAATCATCATCTCTATCTAGATCAAAGGCAGAAGCAGACACGAGGAGTCAGCAAAAGCAGATCTGAGTAAAGTGTGCAGCATTTATTAATTCATTCATTTAATAAATAAATATTTATTGAGCATCTTCCTTTGTGCTTGGTTTTCTGAGGATGGTGATAAAATAATGAACAAGACAGGCCCAGTCCCTTACCCTAATGAGACAAGTATACACACAATTACAATATATGGAATAAGTGCCAGCCAGTGCTAGAGAACAGAGGGGGATAGGGGAGCATACAGGAGGGACATCTAATGAGGGATTGAGAAATCAAATAGACTACAGGGGAGGAGAAAATAATTGCTGTCTCAGAAATTGCCAGGCACACAGAAAGGTGCTAAATAAAAGTGATCAATAAATAAAAGTGCTGCCTACTCTTTAGCGTCTGTTGTGTACCACATACACTGCACTAACAGCATTAAATATGCCTCATTTAATGTTCGTAACAAGCTTATGTTCTATATTCCCTACTTTTCAAAGATAACTCAAAAAAGCTATGAAATTTGTCCAAGATCACAGAGTACACAAGTAGCAGCAATCTATAAAATGAGGTTTGTCCAAGTCCAAAGCTTATACTCACCATACATACACTTGGCACTCTAGTAAGGCATTTAAAACCACATTATTCTAGAGGATGCACCTATAGAATATTTCCTGACCAATAAATGTTCCAATGCTGTTAGTAATATAAACTAAGCAATGTGCCTATCTCCCTCTTCATGTACACATGTACTAATATCATCAACGCAAGAAAACCATAATCTCTGGGCAATCAACCACATAATTTGTGTTCCTGGGGTTTTTGTTGTTGTTGTTGGTAGTGGTGGTGGTGGGTTTTCCCCTAAGCTCTGGAATTCTAAAAATTTGATGAGCTCACACCAAACTGGTAATTTTGTTGACATTTCCAGAGACAATTTGGGAAATTTTAAACAGCTCCTCTACGCAGCATTCTGGCATGTAGAAAGAGGTAAACTGTAAAGACTCTTGCTTTGAAAAGTTATTTTTAAAAGGTGAAGTCAATGTCTTCCTTTTGTCTCTATAGATGCCAATACTATGACCATGTTTCTGTAAGATAATATTATTAAATGAAGTTGATATACCATGGTAGATTTAACTTGGAATATAATCAGGGAAGGAGACAGGTACATTGATAACAGAAGATTAACCAGAACAAAACAGCCCTGTTTATGTGACAAGGCAAAATAGAGAAGAGAGCAACTCCAGCAAACAGCAGACTGTTTGCAGCCACAAAGCACATAGCCCTTCCCAAAACTAGCAGGCTAATTCTGCCATCTGTCATTTCACTTGGTCTGCTCAGGCAGGGAAGTATTTTTCTGAAATAGAGAATAAATATATTTTTTAGCTTCTTTTAAAGAATAGGGAAAGTTCAATGGCATGAAACTACATAGTTTGGGGAACTCAAAGGACCTCACACTCCACTGTTTTAGTTCATAGCAACTATGCACTTGGTTCACCAGCTACGTATCTGGCACAGAAGGCCCTTCTGAATTAGAAAAAAACAAATGTTAGTGTACATTTCCAGTTCCATCCTTTCTCCTTAGTTCCAGAATGCTGCCTCTGGCTGCCTAGTAGCTGATGTATCTGCTAAGAGCATGTTCCAGTTAGACAGCCTAAGTTTGAGTCTATTCTACCTACTACTGGTCATATGGTCTTGAGTGTGTTCCCTGTTCTTCATCTATATTTTAGTTTCCTCATCTGTAATATGGAGCTACCAAAGTGCCTACAAACTGTAGATTACTGTGAGGACTAAATGAAAGGTTAGTATAGTATATGGTAATGTTTCCATGTGGGAATTCCTTCCTGGTACTTCTAGGGGAACTGATATATTTTTCCGAATCATAAAAAAATTCAGTCAAGAAATATGAAAAATGTCTAGTGTCTCCCAATGGATATTAATTCCCAATAGATATTGATCTTCAGGATTTGAAGAGTTAGATAAGAATTCTTAAATCATAATTATATATTTTCATATGACTTATATATTTTAAATAATGAGTAACTATAATAAACTGAACATTTCTTATATAAAAGTTTCAGAAGTATTCTGTAGGCTATATAATAATGGATGTATACTTGTTATTTGAATGAATATGTTACATCAAAATTATATATTTCAATAATATGTAAAAATGATCCTAACCTGAAAAAGATATTTAATTTTTTAAAAATTGTAAATAAAGGGAAATACAAAATAAATGTCAAAAATCTGTGGAAAAACTTAAAGATGACATCACAAATACTTAATATCAAACTCTATTAAAGATAAATTTAAAATATAACATTGGACACAGAAAATTTTATTTCATTTTGTGTTGATGCTGGCTGAATTAAGGCATAGATGGAGAAGGGACAGGGAAAGAACCTGTTCCCATTAATAGAATTTCCAAGGGCACCGTCCAGATGGATGTTAGGATACATCCTGCTTCACAGCAGCTCAGTGCCTTTAGACAATGATAAAAATATTTTGTCTGTTTGCCCTGATTTTGGTTTGGCATTGAAACAGATATTGCTTTTGCCAAATCAGATTTTAGATTCATTTCTGATGTCATGTTAGTATACTGCAGAGCAACATTCTCACCCTCTTCTATTTGTGTTTCTGCCATTCAAGTATTCACAAGGAGCTGAAGCTTATAGCAAATATTCAAACTTGTGAAAATACCAATGAACATTACTCAGCATTATTTGAATAATGTAGTGTGTATAAATACATTAGTATTTCTTTGCAAGAATGATTCATCATTAGCAACATACAAGAAGGCCATGACCACACACTTATCACATGGCAAAAGCTACAAGCAAGACCAACTAATTAGATTTTGACTGCTTCTCTCCTACCCACTTCTGTTGACTCTGCTTTTAGGTTTAACTGGACATCAAGATTCTTCTGAATCAGTATATCTCTATGTTGACTGTTGCTCTTTAATTCTCAAAGAATGGCACATGGTGTTCAAGAAATGTTACCATTATCATTATTTCAATCCCCATATAGAGGTCCCAGGAGACCACTAACTCACTGCTTTCCTCAAGCAAACTTCTACAAATTTCTCTTCTGAGTTAAGATGGTTACTGTTGATTCAGTGCCCCACAACAGGAATCTGAGTTAACTCTGACTCTTCTGAGTTTAAACATCTAATCGAGCCCCATATATTGTAATATTTTCCTCAATCTCTCTTGAATCTTACCCTCCCCCACTGTGCCTTCTCCACCCCTGTCACTAGGGACTTAGTTCAGGTCCTTGTCATTTCTTGATGGGGCTATTAACAAAGCCTTCCATTTATGACTGGCTGCCAATCTTTCAGCCTGATTACTGACACAGTTTCTAAAATGCGTATCTGGTGATCTCTTGTTTATAAATGTCAGTGCATCTCTACAGTTAAAGATAACATCCAAACTCCTTGCATATTATATAAAGCCTTTCACAATCTGGACTTCACCTTTTCCAGCTCCTCTCTGGTCAAATCCCCACGAACCTTTATGTCAGCTTCACAGATCTTCTCACTAAAAATGTCAAACTTTTACACTTGCAAGATTTTGCAAGCATAGTTCCCTGTATTTATAATACCCACTTTTAACCAGTAAAACTTCTATCCATCATTTAAGAACCTTTTCCTGCTTGGGAATCCTTTTCCCTACAAAGTTCTTCCTGGACTCTTCAGGAACAAGTAATATTTCTATCATTTAAATTTTATAGCACTGCATACATTTTCATAGCATTAACATGTAGTGCTATGATTTTCTCTTTATATCTGTCTCCTCCATTAGGCAGTGAGCTCTAGGATGGAGATATGTTTCCTTGTATTTCTCCACCTGCCCCAACACTCAACTCTGAAGCAGTTGCAGAGTAAGGTGTATGTTTATGTGTGTGTGCACACACACACACATATATGTAAAAATGAATGAATATATACACAAATTAATACAGTTATAACTGTTGACATTTAATCTTTTAAAAAAGAGGAAGTACTGAACACTATATGGGGTTTGCTTCATGTCAGAGGGCAAAAAAAAAGGGAGAAAAAACTCAACTTCAGTTAGAATAACATCTTGATGAAGGAGAAATAAGCACTTGTTTATTCAGCACTTTTAGTGGGTGAAAATTTTCTGCTCCCCATGAAAAAAATTATGGAACCACTCTTACTGGGAGGGGAAACAGCAGTGTCAGTTCAAGAAACAGAATCAGGCTGCGTGTGGTGGCTCACACCTATAGTCCCAGCACTTTGGGAGGCCGACGCATTTGAGACCAGCTTGGTCAACATAGCAAGGCCCCATCAGGACACTAAGGCAGGAAGATAACTTGAGCCCAGGAGTGTGAGGTTACAGTAAGCTGTCATCATGCCACTGCACTCCAGCCTGGGTGGGTAACAGAGCAAGACTTTGTCTCTAAAAAATGAGAGAAGAGAGAGAGAGAGAACAAAGAGGAGAGAGGAGAGAGAAGAGATAGAAAGTGAGAGAGAGGAGAGGAGACACAGAGAGAGAGAGAGAGAAAGAGAGAGAGAGAGAATATCAAGATTCCTGAGTGTTACAACCACGCCAAAAGAATTTTAGTCCTTCCTATCAGTTTTGGGCAAACCTGGTCTCTTCTAGGAGCCTCAGTCTTCTCCCTTGTAACATGAGAGTGGGACCATGGTGATATTTAAGATACTCTCCTGCTATAGCTATGATCTCTAAAGATCTACACAGAGTTCACAGGCAAGCACGAGAGATAATCATCTCTCTTCACTGTATTAAATTATGAAAGGATGAGGAAAACAGAGGATTTCTTACAAACCATGAAAGAAAAACGTATAATCTAGTTTCAGAAAATGTTAACCATTAATAATGAAAATAAATACACTATACTTTATATTTACCAAGATAAAAGAATGGATAGAAAATGAATTGCCATTATTTGCATATAATTTTTAAAAACACATTTTAAAGTTCTCTGTGCATCTTTAAAGTGTGAAGGTTATTCTCCCCTTTAAGTCAGAAGGGAGGTGTTTTTTTTCTAATTATCCCTCAGCTTTCCTTTCTGAGTTCAAGTTTTACTGACCATTGTGAGAAACAACTGTGCTTATCTCCATCCTTGGTTGCCAAGAAGCTGCAGGACTTGGAGAGTGGGTGTCATTCCAGGAAGGAATTCCACTCCATGGCTTGATATGCAGCTCCTGTGAGCTAGCTCCAGCCCTGGATTTTCAATTGCTGCAGGACAAATCCCGTGTTGCCTCACATCTCCAATCATCTCACTCACCAGTACAGGGCCCAGCCGCCCGACCACACTCACTGTATGGACAATCATCCCTTTCCTGTTTTGCTCATCCCTTCATCTTCCCAAAACCTCTAGAGCTGTTGGCAGAAACAAATAGAAAACATAACCTACAGCTTAGAGAAACTATAGAACAATCCAGGTGAAGCGTTCACATGAGGGAAACAGGAAAGGAATATCACCATGAAGAAAAGTTAACTACACAACAAACAGGAGGATTAGCATACAAAGAGCATAAAGTTATGTGAAGGTCACTATAAAATTAGTATGCTTACAATTATTAAACATATACAGAATAGTCACCATAATAAAAGAGGATGATGCCATGAAGAGACAAAGGCAACATAGAAATAGCCAGGTGCTGTGGCTCACATCTGTAATCCCAGCTACTCGGGAGGCTGAGGTAGGAGGATTGCTTAAGGGCCAGGAGTTTGAAGTTGCAGTGAGCAGTGATTGTGCCACTGCACTGCAGCCTGGATGACAGAACGAGACTCCATCTCTTAAAAGAAGGAAAGAAAAGAAGAAAATAAATTCAAAACTCAATGGATAAGCTGAACAGCCATCAGAGTAGAAGAGAGAACAGGTGATCTGGAAAAATAAAAAACAAAAACAAAAAAAAAACCAGAATGCCACACAGAAAGGTAAAGAAGGTAAAGACATTTACGGATAAGCAAAGGATTAAAAAAACATGGTTTACAGAATTAAAAGACTAAACCAAGAGCTAACAGGAAACAATAAAGAAAGAAGAGAAAAGGCTATATTCAAAAATATAAGGACAGAGATTTTTCCAGAAGTGACAAAAAATACAATCTCTCAATTTAAGAAGCACCACAAGCCCATAGCAGGATTAATAAAAATTAACACATACCTAAAATATATTCTAGGATCTACAGAACACCAAGTACAAAACAACTGCAAAAAGCAAAGGAAGGAAAACACAAATGCCTACAGACTACCAGCAGATTTCTCAACAGAAACAAGAAAGGTGGGAAGAAAATGAAACATTTTCAAATTCTTGAGAAACAATAACTGATAACCTAGCATTTATACTCACTAAACTGCATTAAAGAGTGTAGGGAAAAAAGATATTTTCAGAAAAACAAACATGAGAACAACAACACTCATAGATCATCAATGTAATACCTACTGAAGGGTGTGTGTACTTTACTATAAGAAAATGGAACACAGAAAAAATGACTGTGATGAAAGAAGCAATGGAGCAAAAAAAATGGCAAACTTGTGGGTAAATCTAAATAAAACCGTAATGTATACGTAAACGATGATGAAAATGGGGATGATTAATAAGGAGAAAAGTTAAAAATAAGGTGGAACAAATATACTAAAGCCAAGAAAATAACTAAAATGCAGACAATACAAACACAGAAATTAAACATATCAGACAGAAGCTGAGAGTTATGGTGGACTGAATGAAAAGGTCCAAAAAATGGCTAATAGGAGAGAAGAGAAAGAACTGATGAGACGAAATATTCACAAGGATTAGGGAAAATGGAAGAAAGACAGCTTTCTATGGTCCTATTATTTGGATAGAGAGTAGAGTTTTTTTTTACTTCTAGACTACATTAAATCAAGTATGCATTTGAGAACTTTAAGAATAAGCACGAAGAGAAATACACTTATAACTCTGAAAGTAGAGGAGAAAAAATATTATAAAGAATATTCAAATAATCAGTAGAAGATATGGGAAGAGGGGGCATAAAGAAAAAAGCTTAATAAATAGAAAATCGGGGAGGAGCCAAGATGGCCGAATAGGAACAGCTCCGGTCTACAGCTCCCAGCGTGAGCGACGCAGAAGACGGGTGATTTCTGCATTTCCATCTGAGGTACCGGGTTCATCTCACTAGGGAGTGCCAGACAGTGGGCGCAGGCCAGTGGGTGCGCGCACCGTGTGCGAGCCGAAGCAGGGCGAGGCATTGCCTCACCTGGGAAGCGCAAGGGGTCAGGGAGTTCTCTTTCCGAGTCAAAGAAAGGGGTGACGGACGCACCTGGAAAATCGGGTCACTCCCACCCGAATATGGCGCTTTTCAGACCGGCTTAAAAAACGGCGCACCACGAGACTATATCCCACACCTGGCTCGGAGGGTCCTACGCCCACGGAGTCTCGCTGATTGCTAGCACAGCAGTCTGAGATCAAACTGCAAGGCGGCAGCGAGGCTGGGGGAGGGGCGCCCACCATTGCCCAGGCTTGCTTAGGTAAACAAAGCAGCCGGGAAGCTCCAACTGGGTGGAGCCCACCACAGCTCAAGGAGGCCTGCCTGCCTCTGTAGGCTCCACCTCTGGGGGCAGGGCACAGACAAACAAAAAGACAGCAGTAACCTCTGCACACTTAAATGTCCCTGTCTGACAGCTTTGAAGAGAGCAGTGGTTCTCCCAGCACGCAGCTGGAGATCTGAGAACGGGCAGACTGCCTCCTCAAGTGGGTCCCTGACCCCTGACCCCCGAGCAGCCTAACTGGGAGGCACCCCCCAGCAGGGGCACAGTGACACCTCACACTGCAGGGTATTCCAACAGACCTGCAGCTGAGGGTCCTGTCTGTTAGAAGGAAAACTAACAAACAGAAAGGACATCCACACCGAAAACCCATCTGTACATCACCATCATCAAAGACCAAAAGTAGATAAAACCACAAAGATGGGGAAAAAACAGAACAGAAAAACTGGAAACTCTAAAATGCAGAGCGCCTCTCCTCCTCCAAAGGAACACAGTTCCTCACCAGCAATGGAACAAAGCTGGATGGAGAAAGATTTTGACGAGCTGAGAGAAGAAGGCTTCAGACGATCAAATTACTCTGAGCTACGGGAGGACATTCAAACCAAAGGCAAAGAAGTTGAAAACTTTGAAAAAAATTTAGAAGAATGTATAACTAGAATAACCAATACAGAGAAGTGCTTAAAGGAGCTGATGGAGCTGAAAACCAAGGCTCGAGAACTACGTGAAGAATGCAGAAGCCTCAGGAGCCGATGCGATCAACTGGAAGAAAGGGTATCAGCAATGGAAGATGAAATGAATGAAATGAAGTGAGAAGGGAAGTTTAGAGAAAAAAGAATAAAAAGAAATGAGCAAAGCCTCCAAGAAATATGGGACTATGTGAAAAGACCAAATCTACGTCTGATTGGTGTACCTGAAAGTGATGCGGAGAATGGAACCAAGTTGGAAAACACTCTGCAGGATATTATCCAGGAGAACTTCCCCAATCTAGCAAGGCAGGCCAATGTTCAGATTCAGGAAATACAGAGAACGCCACAAAGATACTCCTCGAGAAGAGCAACTCCAAGACACATAATTGTCAGATTCACCAAAGTTGAAATGAAGGAAAAAATGTTAAGGGCAGCCAGAGAGAAAGGTCGGGTTACCCTCAAAGGGAAGCCCATCAGACTAACAGCGGATCTCTTGGCAGAAACCCTACAAGCCAGAAGAGAGTGGGGGCCGATATTCAACATTCTTAAAGAAAAGAATTTTCAACCCAGAATTTCATATCCAGCCAAACTAAGCTTCATAAGTGAAGGAGAAATAAAATACTTTACAGACAAGCAAATGCTGAGAGATTTTGTCACCACCAAGCCTGCCCTAAAAGAGCTCCTGAAGGAAGCGCTAAACATGGAAAGGAACAACCGGTAGCAGCCGCTGCAAAATCATGCCAAAATGTAAAGACCATCGAGACTAGGAAGAAACTGCATCAACTAACGAGCAAAATCACCAGCTAACATCATAATGACAGGATCAAATTCACACATAACACTATTAACTTTAAATGTAAATGGACTAAATGCTCCAATTAAAAGACACAGACTGGCGAGTTGGATAAAGAGTCAAGACCCATCAGTGTGCTGTATTCAGGAAACCCATCTCACGTGCAGAGATACACATAGGCTCAAAATAAAAGGATGGAGGAAGATCTACCAAGCAAATGGAAAACTAAAAAAGGCAGGGGTTGCAATCCTAGTCTCTGATAAAACAGACTTTAAACCAACAAAGATCAAAAGAGACAATGAAGGCCATTACATAATGGTAAAGGGATCAATTCAACAAGAGGAGCTAACTATCCTAAATATATATGCACCCAATACAGGAGCACCCTGATTCATAAAGCAAGTCCTGAGTGACCTACAAAGAGACTTAGACTCCCAAACATTAATAATGGGAGACTTTAACACCCCACTGTCAACATTAGACAGATCAACGAGACAGAAAGTCAACAAGGATACCCAGGAATTGAACTCAGCTCTGCACCAAGTGGACCGAATAGACATCTACAGAACTCTCCACCCCAAATCAACAGAATATACATTTTTTTCAGCACCACACCACACCTATTCCAAAATTGACCACATAGTTGGAAGTAAAGCTCTCCTCAGCAAATGTGAAAGAACAGAAATTATAACAAACTGTCTCTCAGACCACAGTGCAATCAAACTAGAACTCAGGATTAAGAATCTCACTCAAAACTGCTCAGCTACATGGAAACTGAACAACCTGCTCCTGGATGACTACTGGGTACATAAGGAAATGAAGGCAGAAATAAAGATGTTCTTTGAAACCAATGAGAACAAAGACACAACATAGCAGAATCTCTGGGACGCATTCAAAGCAGTGTGTAGAGGGAAATTTATAGCACTAAATGCCCACAAGAGAAAGCAGGAAAGATCCAAAATTGACACCCTAACATCACAATTAAAAGAACTAGAAAAGCAAGAGCAAACACATTCAAAAGCTAGCAGAAGGCAAGAAATAACTAAAATCAGAGCAGAACTGAAGGAAATAGAGACACAAAAAACCCTTCAAAAAATCAATGAATCCAGGAGCTGGTTTTCTGAAAGGATCAACAAAATTGATAGACCACTAGCAAGACTAATAAAGAAAAAAAGAGAGAAGAATCAAACAGACACAATAAAAAATGATAAAGGGGTATCACCACCGATCCCACAGAAATACAAACTACCATCAGAGAATACTACAAACACCTCTACACAAATAAACTAGAAAATCTAGAAGAAATGGATACATTCCTCGACACATACACTCTCCCAAGACTAAACCAGGAAGAAGTTGAATCTCTGAATAGACCAATAACAGGAGCTGAAATTGTGGCAATAATCAATAGTTTACCAACCAAAAAGAGTCCAGGACCAGATGGATTCACAGCCGAATTCTACCAGAGGTACAAGGAGGAACTGGTACCATTCCTTCTGAAACTATTCCAATCAATAGAAAAAGAGGGAATCCTCCCTAACTCATTTTATGAGGCCAACATCATTCTGATACCAAAGCCGGGCAGAGACACAACCAAAAAAGAGAATTTTAGGCCAATATCCTTGATGAACATTGATGCAAAAATCCTCAATAAAATACTGGCAAACCGAATCCAGCAGCACATCAAAAAGCTTATCCACCATGATCAAGTGGGCTTCATCCCTGGGATGCAAGGCTGGTTCAATATACGCAAATCAATAAATGTAATCCAGCATATAAACAGAGCCAAAGACAAAAACCACATGATTATCCCAATAGATGCAGAAAAAGCCTTTGACAAAATTCAACAACCCTTCATGCTAAAAACTCTCAATAAATTAGGTATTGATGGGACGTATTTCAAAATAATAAGAGCTATCTATGACAAACCCACAGCCAATATCATACTGAATGGGCAAAAACTGGAAGCATTCCCTTTGAAAACTGGCACAAGACAGGGATGCCCTCTCTCACCGCTCCTATTCAACATAGTGTTGGGAGTTCTGGCCAGGGCAATCAGGCAGGAGAAGGAAATAAAAGGTATTCAATTAGGAAAAGAGGAAGTCAAATTGTCCCTGTTTGCAGACGACATGATTGTTTATCTAGAAAACCCCATCGTCTCAGCCCAAAATCTCCTTAAGCTGATAAGCAACTTCAGCAAAGTCTCAGGATACAAAATCAATGTACAAAAATCACAAGCATTCTTATACACCAACAACAGACAAACAGAGAGCCAAATCATGAGTGAACTCCCATTCACAATTGCTTCAAAGAGAATAAAATACCTAGGAATCCAACTTACAAGGGATGTGAAGGACCTCTTCGAGGAGAACTACAAACCACTGCTCAATGAAATAAAAGAGGATACAAACAAATGGAAGAACATTCCATGCTCATGGGTAGGAAGAATCAATATCGTGAAAATGGCCATACTGCCCAAGGTAATTTACAGATTCAATGCCATCCCCATCAAGCTACCAATGACTTTCTTCACAGAATTGGAAAAAACTACTTTAAAGTTCATATGGAACAAAAAAAGAGCCCGCATCGCCAAGTCAATCCTAAGCCAAAAGAACAAAGCTGGAGGCATCACACTACCTGACTTCAAACTATACTACAAGGCTACAGTAACCAAAACAGCATGGTACTGGTACCAAAACAGAGATATAGATCAATGGAACAGAACAGAGCCCTCAGAAATAACGCCGCATACCTACAACTATCTGATCTTTGACAAACCTGAGAAAAACAAGCAATGGGGAAAGGATTCCCTATTTAATAAATGGGGCTGGGAAAACTGGCTAGCCATATGTAGAAAGCTGAAACTGGATCCCTTCCTTACACCTTATAGAAAAATCAATTCAAGATGGATTAAAGATTTAAATGTTAGACCTAAAACCATAAAAACCCTAGAAGAAAACCTAGGCATTACCATTCAGGACATAGGCGTGGGCAAGGACTTCATGTCCAAAACACCAAAAGCAATGGCAACAAAAGCCAAAATTGACAAATGGGATCTAATTAAACTAAAGAGTTTCTGCACAGCAAAAGAAACTACCATCAGAGTGAACAGGCAACCTACAACATGGGAGAAAATTTTCACAACCTACTCATCTGACAAAGGGCTAATATCCAGAATCTACAATGAACTCAAACAAATTTACAAGAAAAAAACAAACAACCCCATCAAAAAGTGGGCGAAGGACATGAACAGACACTTCTCAAAAGAAGACATTTATGCAGCCAAAAGACACATGAAAAAATGCTCATCATCACTGGCCATCAGAGAAATGCAAATCAAAACCACTATGAGATATCATCTCACACCAGTTAGAATGGCAATCATTAAAAAGTCAGGAAACAACAGGTGCTGGAGAGGATGTGGAGAAATAGGAACACTTTTACACTGTTGGTGGGACTGTAAACTAGTTCAACCATTGTGGAAGTCAGTGTGGCGATTCCTCAGGGATCTAGAACTAGAAATACCATTTGACCCAGCCATCCCATTACTTGGTATATACCCAAAGGACTATAAATCATGCTGCTATAAAGACACATGCACACGTATGTTTATTGCGGCATTATTCACAATAGCAAAGACTTGGAACCAACCCAAATGTCCAACAATGATAGACTGGATTAAGAAAATGTGGCACATATACACCATGGAATACTATGCAGCCATAAAAAATGATGAGTTCATATCCTTTGTAGGGACATGGATGAAATTGGAAATCATCATTCTCAGTAAACTATCGCAAGAACAAAAAACCAAACACCGTATATTCTCACTCATAGGTGGGAATTGAACAATGAGATCACCTGGACACATGAAGGGGAATACCACACTCTGGGGACTGTGGTGGGGTGGGGGGAGGGGGGAGGGATAGCATTGGGAGATATACCTAAGGCTAGATGACGAGTTAGTGGGTGCAGAGCACCAGCATGGCACATGTATACATATGTAACTAACCTGCACAATGTGCACATGTACCCTAAAACTTAAAGTATAAAAAAAAAAACAATAATGTGTCAGACATGATACAAGATGATTTAAATAAAAGACCTCTTTAAATATCAAAAAATAAATAAATTAAATAAATAAATAAATAAATAAATAGAAAACCTCCAATAAAATATTAGACATTGAACCATACCCATAATCAATGATTTCAGAGGACAGAAGCTCTCAGATGACAGATTGAAAACCCATCTAAATCCAGATATATGTTGTTTATAAGCAATACACCTAAAACATAAAGCATGGAGAACTGAATGCCAATGAACCATACAATAGTAACGTACCAACAAGAATTGACCAAAGAAAGCCACTGCATCTTTTAATTTTAATAATTAAAAATAACACAAAAAGCTTATTAAACACAGAGAAAAACGAAATATAACAAGCTTGTAAGCATCTAATGACACACACTCAAAATGGGTAAAGAAAATTGGCATAATTATAAGAACAAATTGACAAATCCACAGTCTTACAGTGTGATTTTTAAACACATATTTCTCATAATAACATAGCTGAAGCATGTAAAATATTGCTAAAGATATAGCATATTGAATAATACAATTATAATGCTTCCTATGCAATGCATGTACAAATACCCTAACACCTGCAATATAATGGCTCTTAAATTCTCCACCTTGCTGGCTGCACTCCAAACACACTGGCCTCTTTGATATTCATCAAGTACATGGGCACACGCCTGCCTCAAAGCCTTCATATGTCCATTCCCTCTACCTGGAATGCTCTCCAGTCCCCATATTCACATGGCTCATTCCTTCATTATCTTTAAATATTTGTTAGAATATAATGAGGCTTACCCTAAGCACCTTACTCAAAATTGCTGCTCCTCATCCCCTAACTAATCTGTCTTACCCTGATCTAATTTTTCCCCACAGAACTTTTCACCTTGTAACAAATTCTGCAATTTGCTGATTATATTCCATCTCCAACCATTAGAATGTAAGCTCTACAAAGGGAAGAATATCTATCCTGTTCAGCAATGTATCTTCAGCACCTAGAACAGTTTCTGGCACCTGATAGGTGCTTAACAAACATTGGCGGGAGGGAGGAAGGAAATTTATGCAAGTTACAAAAGGTTAGATAAAATCAAAATCTGAGTTTAGCAAGATAGATTTTAAAAATAGAGGAAAGGCACATATAAACAGTATTAGGAATGAAAAGGAGACTAAATACAGAGTTTAAAACTTCATAAGAGAATAATGATGGTAATTTAAATATTAATATTTAGTAGGGACTTACACATGCCAGCTGCTGTTCTGCACATCTTACATGCTTATTCATTCAGTCTTCATCCAACCATAAGTTAGTCACGATGATTGTCTCCATTTTACATATAAGAAAACTAAGACACAAGGGCACATACCCAGTGATTCCTGGATTCAGGGTTCAAAACTATGTCCACTGTCTCCAGAACTTACACTCTTACATACATTATTCTGTTTTTGTATAGAGAATTCTATGAACATCTTGATGGTGATATGTATAACTTGGACAAAAAACACATTTTCCAGAAAAATAGGGTAGAGAAAATCTGTACCATTAGAGAAATTAAATCAGTAGTCAAAAATCTACCAAAAAACATAAGAGCAAGGCAAATTTTAGTAGGCAAATTCTATAGAATCATCATGATGCCCAACTTATTCATACTATTTCAAAGAATAGAAAAAAGGAAAAGCTGCCAAACTCATAAAATTATTTGGTATTATATGATACTAAAATTGAACCAGGACAATAGAAGACAGAAAAAAAAAACCCATAGGCCATTCTCACTGGTGATCACTGATGCAAATATTTTATTATAATATTGGCAAACCCAATGGAACAATTTATTTTTAAAAATCACAATCAAAAAGACTTTATTCCATAAATGCAGGGATGTTTTAGCAATAGAAAACGTTAAGTGTAACTTATTTATTGAAATTTGGTCCCAGATAATTATTTGTTGCGAGGGCTTTCCTTGTGCATTATGCAATTGTTTTTCTTTCTTCCCCAGCTTTATTGAAGCACAATTGACTAACAAAAATTGTATATATTTATGGTATATATTTTGATATACATATATACTGTGAAAAGATTACCACAACCAATCTAATTAACATGTCAATCACATCACATAACTACCTTTGTGTGTGTGTGTGTGTGTGGCTGGGAACAGTTAAGATCTCCTCCCAGCAAATTTCTAGCATACAATACAGTAATGCTAAATATAGGCACCATAGTGTACATTAGATCTCCAGGATTTATTCATCCTGAATAACTGCAACTTTGTACCCTTTAACCCACATCTCCCCATTTCCCCCACTCCCCAGCCCATGGAAACCACCATTTTATTCTCTGTTTCTACCAGTTCAACTATTTTAGACTCCTCATTGTCTTATCTGTTTAGGCTGCTATAACAAAACACCATCAACTGGGTATTTTATAAGCAACAGAAATTTATTTCTCATAGTTCTGGAAGGCTGGGAGCTCCAAGATTAAGACCCCAGCAGATTCAGTGTCTGGTAAGAGCCCATTTCCTGGTTTCCAGATGATGATGTCTTCTTGCTGTGCCCTTTCAGGACAGTTCTTTGGGTGGTCTGGGACCAACTCAGTTCTTCCCACTTTCTTGCTTGCTGTTCTCAAGAATAACTATAGAACATGCTGGGAATGCAACATCCTGAGTTAAGAAGGAACTGACTGGAACACCTCAGGCTCTGTTCCAGACCCTCCTAGAAACAGGATGTCCTTAAACACTTTAATGCAGTGATACTCAGGTATAAAACTCAGAGTGAGCTGCTTTCCGGGTTCTCTCAGCTGACGTGCAAGTGGACATGTGCATAAGAGACTCTATCTGTTCCAGGAAGCTTTTCTGAGCCTTGGGGAACTGGCTTTCAATGAATGCTAGGCTTCTGTTGTCCTTTGCTGCCTATTAAATAATAAATCCACTTCATGAAACTTGTTTTGTGTATGAATGCTCTGTCTCACCAGACTCGGGCAAGTAACCAGTGCACAGTAAACTTGCTTCACAGTCCTTACTTGGTGAAAGGAACTAGTTAGTGCGCTCAGTCTCTTTTATAAGGTTGAAGACATCATGCCTTTTTACCACTAAGTACTTTAGTGAATACTTCCTAAGAACAAAGACACATTTTATGTAATGACAGTACACGTATCAAAGTCGAGAAATTTAACTCTGATCTAATAGTATTAGCTAATCTATAGTTTATATTGTTTCATCAATTATCTCAACCATGTCCTTTATAGCTATTTCTTTTCCTGTTCAGATTCTAAGCCAAGATTCTTCATTACATCTAGTCATCTTAACCCACTTATGCCCAGTGTTCCATTATTGGAACGCTAAGCATGTGGGAGTTATTTACATCCTACTGCTCAAGGTCATCGCCAAGGTCTGATTGCAAAAAATAAAAAAATTGCAACCTCAGGGTTAACTCCCTAGTCTTTTTCAATTTGAACAGTTTTGCCTTCACGTTTGTTTGTTTGAGGTTTCCTCATAATGAGATTTAGGTTATGTGTTTTTGACAGCAATATCACAGAAATGATGTGTCCTTCTCAGTACATATATTAGGAGGTACGTGATAGCAGTTTGTCACAATATTGGTGAAGTTTACTTTGATCACTTGGTTAAAGTGGTATCCAACAGGTCTCTCCCTTACGAAGTTACTTTTTTGTCATTAATAAGCAATTTGTGGGGACATACTTTGTAACTAAATAGCCTGCTTCCCATCAAACTTTTGCTGTTTTCACCTCAATGATGATTTTCTAACTCCATGATTCCTTGTATACACATTAGTTGGCATCATACTGTGAAAAAAAACAGCTTGCCCTTTGACCCCATTTATTTATCAGTAGGGATTTGGTGATTCTTATTTTATTCTATGGACTATATATTTAATGTTTGAATTGTCCTAGATTTGGCCAGAGCGAGTTCCCTCAAGCTAGTCTCTACATATAAGAGAAATTCAAATCTCAAAATATTATTCCTCTGTCACCAATCAGACTTCCGGGATTCACTTTCCTGGTGTCAAATATTCTTTTTTCAGAAAATGCATCATGAGTTTATATTAATAATTTTAAACATAATTAGTAAAGTAAATCTTCTGAAAAAAATCTAAATTATTTTGGAGCAATATTCTATTTTGAGATCAACTTTATTAATATGGGTATCAAGAGATAAATTTAGATTAAAAATATTACCATTTAATGTACATGATTAATAGATATGGTTATCCAAAGTAACTTTGATAATCAATCCAGATTTTATAGAAGACAAAGTTTTCATCCGTCTCATTCAAGTTCACTTTTATACCTAAAGTTGCAAAGAGTATTCAAGTTGAAAAAAGGATATGATATCAAGAAATCTGACTGATATACACTCATCCAGAAATAAAGAGGTTATGGAAGGCTCTTTCTACAGCTATTTCTCAACTTACATACAAATAACCACTGTCAATTGTTCACTTAAAATTCCAAACTCCAACCAATATTTCACAGAGATATTATAAATAAAAAAAGAAAATACTGCCACAGAGGACCTTGAGGATGATACCCCTTTATTTTTGTTTAAAAAAAAGCAACAAGGGCCCAGAGAAGTGAACTGTTACAGAAACAGTGGAAAATCTAAAATTTGAATATAGTTTTCAGTATGTCAAGACAAGGGCTATTTTAATCATGTCACTTACAATGGTGAGATTGACAAATCATTCCACAAAAGCAGCTATTTAGCCAACAATGTGGCTGAAACATTTAGCAATGAACAACAGTATTGCAGGAATCACTCTTAAAGTAATAAAAGTTATTATGTTGAAAAGAAGTTTTTTTTAAATGATGAATTTGAGGCTAGGTTAATTAAAAGACTATTGTAAGGTCCATCAACATTTGCTGGGATTACTAGCGGAAATTTATAGGCTCTTAAGAGGCTTGTGGCGCTGGCTCTTTAATGTGAATAATTTTACTACAACTTAGGACTTTCCTTTTCCATGACAGGTGTGGACTATCAACATGATTCAGACTTACAAGGCATAATTAAGGTTGTTTGTGGCCTCTCCATTAACTGCCAACACTTTATGGTTAACTTTCAGATTTGTAAATCTACCCTGAGAATACTACAAGAAACATTTTCTGTATTAGAGATGACGTAATATTCGAAGCTGCTAAATTTCATTTTCTTGACCTAGAGTATTTTATAATAAAATTCTATATCTTCCCCTCATTTTATTTGACAAAATCTCTTCAATTTTTTAAGGATGTCCTATTTAAAACTAAATTTAAGCAGCTGGGTTTACACGTAGAAATCATCCATGACCCTCAGTCTTCCTCCATTATTACCTGTTTGGTGTGACCAATTCCTGGATCTCCTGTGACCTGAGGCCTTTTCCTTTACTCTTTCTTATCTTCCTCCTCTAACCAGATTTGAGGCTGAAAGCAGGAGGATCAACCCTCCTGACACTATGCTCACGTTTCTCCTAGTAAAATAGGCAGCTCTACCTCAAGCAGGAAGTGTATTCTCAGATATAAATTTCAAGGATTATCTTACAGTTAACACAAAGAAGCTATCATTTAGGTGCTTTAAATCTTCACGTGAATGGGAACAGTTTCCATATATAGTTACCACTGGATGAAATACATTTCATAAAGGCAATATAGAGAAGAGAGAGAAAATCTTTTATTCACTTTAAATTTGAAAACACAAAATGATCCAGAAAGCTTTTTCAGCAGTTATAGGGTGTTATTTTTCAAAACCTATTAAAGTTAATTACTTTTTGAATATTAGAATTGTCCATGATAACTAATAAAATGGGTAAAGCAGCACTGTACATACCCTGAGTAGCTGTTGGAGGTAGTTTGAGGGTATTGTCTAACTTCTCCCAAAGGTAAGTTGGTCGAGGAATGCCTTCCTCTGAGCTACAGAGCAGGATGACATCGCTGCCAATATCCTGGGATCCTTGGATTTGGCAGTGTGGGGCAGAAGGGGGAACTATAACAGGAAGAATAAGCAATAAAGTACACATTTTACTGTGAGCCATGTGATGATGGAGGAGACATCAACATTCAGTACATTGGACCCTTAGATTACACTGTTTTGGGAACATATACCAGGAGACAGACTCACCGCCTGAACCCAGGGGAGGCATGTACCAATTCACGAGGCTTAGGCACAGGAGCAGGCCTGCAGCTTTGGTAAGCAGGGGGCAAATATGTACAAAGGGGCTTCACTCTTTGATTATAGTTCCAAGGTATCTTAAGATCTTCCTTTCACTCTGCTTCCTCTAAAGAAGAATTCTTAAGATCCATTGTATCAACATGTTGCTTTTAAAAACATTGCTGAAAGAGGCCACTTTTCAAGATTTCAGGGAAAAACAACCATTATCCTGCCCTGGCGAAAACCACTTTAACAAGGCCCTTTGTTACTTTACAAACAAAAACTGGGCAGACCCACTTTATACCAAATTCTGCTTTATGGTGGAGAAAGTTAAACTAAGGTTCAGGTAAAAGCAGAGTGGATAATAATGTAGTGAACATTTCACAATCATTAAGGCAGGACACAAAAAACATGGAACAAAAATTACCAAAAAGAACACTAAAGGAAGAAGGTGGTGATATATAGTAACAAGGAAAAAAACAAAACAAAACCATAAACTAAGCCCATGGCTTGAAGTTTCATGCTGGGGAATACAGATGGTAGAGTTTAAGTCTAATTTATGATTTATTTGTAATGCTAATGACTTTTCAGTAAATATGTTCACCCTTTCCAAAATGAATAAATGAATGAATGAAAAAATGAATGCAGAGTATACACAGGAATCAGGAAAAAAAAAAGTGGGTAGGGGAAGAGAGAACAATAAAAGGATATAGGTAGGAAGAGTAAAAATCTTAGAGAATCCTAACTACTGCGGTGGGGCAAACTAATCTTTGTTTGCCTTTGTCATTGCCACTGTGATGCCAGGAAGAGAAACCCAAAATAATTCTTTGGAGGTAGCATTAATTATAAAATAAATTAAGGGCTTTTTATCTTCTTTTTAAAAATGATGCTGAGAAGTTAAGTCTGGACAAACAAAAAAGAAATAAGGTTGGATAATATGGGAAGCCAGTCACCTAACTTACAGGTCTAAGTATCAGAATATTTAATTCCATTAGTACACTATACTCGGTACTCAGAGTATTTTATAATCTATACAATTTTTAATATAATACAATGAATATGGTTTTGAGAATAGAAATCCCCGACTTGGTCATCAGTTTTTTTATTCTGTTTGAAGGCTGGGAGAAAAAGGCACCAAAGGCCGAGGGAAAATGACAAGAATTCCCAACACCTGTATTCTTAAGTGACTCAACAACAACGAAGGAAAAAGAAAGCGGGGGTGGAGTTTGACAAGGACTGCGGGAGTAGATTCTGAGACTTGAGTAGGATGGAGGAGAATCAAGAACATCAACCTTCTCAAAACGTCTTCCATCTCCCCAGATGAACTGAGTTTAGCCACCTCTACCACAAGTATTCATTTAGAAAGCAGTATTTTATATTAGAGACAGAAGAATTGAAAAATAAAACATGCTTATAATGGATATTAGTGTGAGACAGTCTAACAACATGGTGTAATGGAAAGAGTGCTGGTTTGAGTAAGGAGATCTAAATTTTAATCTAAACGTTGTTGTTTATTTTCTATGCAATCTGGGGAAAAAAAACCTAAATCTATTTGGTCTCAGTATTAAGGTGATAATATGATTTATTCTTCAAACAAGGATACTTGGGGGAGTAAAAGGAGGTATTATTACAATTATGCCAGGACAACACGTGCAAGCCAAGAACTGTGGTGATCCTACTCGGTGTTACACAGATATGAAGTAATAGTATTATTCTCACACATGCTAAAACTTCTGCTCTGTACTAAAATAAGTCATTCTTGATTTAATTTGCTCTCAACAATAAGTTCTGTACTGTAGAAGCTTAAGAAAAGTGAGAGACCACTTCTGATGGTATTTGATACCATCTTTCTTCACCTTCAGAAGAAAGTCATTAAATAAGTAAGTTTTAGAGACCGCCGGAAATGAAGAAAGGAGGGGGAGACTATCTGTAAGAAGCATGGAGAAGGAGAGAAGAGATGGAACTGAGAGAAGACAGAAAAAGAACATAAGCAGACTGAAGGTGTAGAAACAAGGGCAGAAGCAAGTATGCTTGAGAGTAGCTTCGTGAGTAAAGCCCGAACAGCCAAGGACTCTTGTGTCACTCACCTAACACTGTGAGACCGGTGACCCCAATGTTCCTGCCCCCTATGTCTGGAAGGTTGTTGACCAGGCACTGGTAGGTGCCAGTGTCTGATAACTGAGTGTTATTAATGAAGATAGAGACATTGGTAGCTGGCATGGTGCCTGTAAATCCTACCCTACCGTGGAACCGGGGGGCACCATCAAACATCTGTCCACCCTGATACAGGATGACCTGGAAAAGAAAGCAAAATAAATAAACTGGCCACTCTATCCTCTCCTAGACACAAAACAATAACTATTTGGTAGACAGTACCAAATGCTGCACCAAACATTGGAAAATTTTATTTCTAATATGATAATTATCATCAACTTTTTTTTTACAGTATTTGTTCATAGGTATCTTGGGGTTTTAAATTCTCACATAACAAATTAGAATAATATTTTTTCCTTACCTAACACATCAGAACATAAAAAAAGTCTTTGCTGCTGCCCACCCTACTATCAGTTCATAAATATTCTTACCAGTTCAAAAAACTGATTCCAAAACAAAAATTAAAAAATATTAGCACTGCCATTCTCATGCTTATTAGGTCACACAATGATAGATCATAGGTACAGACTGAATGTAAATAAATGTCACAGAAGGGAAGTAGAGTTACAAGTCCATGATTACTGTTCTTATGTCAGCCTCTACTATCAAAGTTAAGTCTTCATGGAAGACTTAGAATGACATAACAAAAAGCCCTTTGGGCTGCGAGTGAGGGACTCAGTTCTATTCAAGCTCTACCTGTAAATGTGTTTAGTAACTCTACTCAAGCTCTTTACTTAAACTCCATCCTTGATTCCTAAAATAATAAGGTTGAACAAAATGATCTTGAAGGCGGAGTCTAACTACAAAAATTCTATGAAGAAACAAAAGAAGCTTCTATTTAATTTCATATCAGAAAATTTAGCTTATCAAATATTTTGAGGTAATAATAATCTTACTGAAGGAGAAAAGCTCCATTAACATTGTAAATAAAGGTGTAATCATTATCACAATTCATTAACTTCCTGAGCATTATTTTCTGCAGTGAGTTCTACAAATTATGTGTCTTTTTCCTGTAATTGATACAGCTTACTGGGGAGTAGCTTCCATTTTCATGTACATTCTTTCACGTACACATTCTATTAATAATTTATATGAGACTCTTTGAGCTCACTAACATGGCTAGTCATGTTTTACTTTAAAATACTAGTGAAATTAACTTAAAAAAAATCAAGTACTACAACCTAATGTTACTTCCTTACTATTATCACTATCTTTTAAAAGTATGCTCTCAACAATCTGTGATGGTGCCAGTCCCTTCTGGTCAAAATTGCCTATTAGCAATGTTGTTGATAAAATTACAGGTTCCTACATAAACCTCTCAGAAGGATATTCTTAACATCTGTTACCTTTTTAAAAAGAGGATAGCCTCTTCTGATAAGTGACTGATAGGGCAGAGGAGTAGGCCTTAAAAGAGTACACGCACATTGACAATGCCACCTTATTCTCGAAACCAAAGATGTACTCATGATGCTTCCCTACCAACCTCCTCTGAAAAGATTAACCTTTTAGAGGTAGCACAGGATGCAACAGAAATACCTGTTCAGGTTGGTTGGCATTGGAGAGAGGAGTGACCATCCAAATGACATTGAGGTTAATGAGGGCAGCGCTGGTAGTGAAAGTGCAGGGCAGGACTGCTGGCTGACCCCGGGCCACCTGGATACTCCCAGGGCTCTCTGACACTTCCAGGGATGCTGCAACACCTACAGAAGAAGGAACAGGGAGGTTATATGCTCGCCCTTTCCCAACAGTCCAAACTCCTTCAGGAAGGTTTGCGTGTTTTATGTTATCACATTATTATTGATTATGTGAACAGACTGACATGATAGTCTTAACAACTGCTGACCAGTCACTGAGTCAAAATAATAAAAATGGTTCATCCCTTTACCTCCTGAAAACTACAATAGAAAAATATTAGAAGCTCTTTACTATCTTTTGGAAGATGCTATCTGATATGTGGCCAGATTCAAATACGACACAGATGAATTCAACTGATGGGGTTTGATGAAAGATTAAAAATAAACTGAATTTTCAAAGTGTTGTTACATAAGCACACTGCAAAATTAAATGCTTACATATAAATCTAACAAATCACATAAATCTAACAAAATATGTACAGCACCCATACAAGAAGAGTATACAATGCTAATAAAAGAAATCAGTAAGACTAAATAAATGCAGAGATATGTAACGTTCATGAACTGGGAGAGTCAATCTTAAGATGCCAATTGTCCCTAAATTGATCTATAGATTCAGAGCTAGCCCAGTCAAAATCCCAGTAGTCTTTTTGCAAATGTTGACAAATTCTAAAAAATATAGAAAGACAAAGAACTAGAATAGCCAAAAGAATACTGAAAAATAAGAACAAAGATGAAGAATTCACACTACCCAATTTTAAAACTTGCTATATAGCTGTAGTAGGACAGTATGGTACTAGCTTTTTAAGGATAGACATATAGATAAATGTCACAGGGTTGAGAGTACTGAAATAAATCTTTATATTTATGGTCAAATGCTTCTCAATAAAGGTACAAGACAACTACATGGGGCAAAAATAGTCTTTTCAACAAATGGTGCTGGGATAATTTGATAGTAATATGCCAAAAATTAAATATTCTGAATATAAAATCAACAGAAAATGATCACAGACCTAAATAAAAATCAACAGAAAATGTTCATAAACCTAAATCATCGTAACATACAAGTAGTCAGCAATTTCGTTTACTAGGAATCTACTCAAGTAAAATGAAAATGTATGTCCACACAACGACTTGTCCATGAATGTTCATAACAGCATTATTTATATCATGTCCTGAAAAGGAAATAATACAAATATCCATCAACTGGTGAATGGACAAACAAAATGTGATCTATCCATACAACAGAATACTGTTCAGAAACAAAAACCATCAAAGTACTGATACATCTTACAACATGCACGAGCCTCCCAAAACATATTTCTCAAAGAAGCCAGATGCAAAACACTGCATTCCACACATATAAAATGTCTAGAAAAGGCAAATCTATAGAGACAGAAAATAGATTAGTACCACCCGGGGATACACAGGCATAGGGACTTGTAAATAGACTTACTGGGACTTTTTAGTGATGGAAAACTAGGTTCCTGTGATGGTTGTACAACTCTGCAAGCTTAAAAGTCACTGATTTTTTTTTTTTTTTTGAGACAGTCTCGCTCTGTTGCCAGGCTGGAGTGCAGTGGCACAATCTTGGCTCACTGCAAGCTCTGCCTCCCAGGTTCATGCCATTCTCCTGCCTCAGCCTCCCAAGTAGATGGGACTACAGGCGCCCGCCACCATGCCCAGCTAATTTTTTTGTATTTTTAGTAGAGACGGGGTTTCACCGTGTTAGCCAGGGTGATCTCGATCTCCTGACCTCGTGATCTGGCCACCTTGGCCTCCCAAAGTGGTGGGATTACAGGCGTGAGCCACCGCACCTGGCCAAAAGTCACTGAATTTTATACTTCAAAGGAGTAATTTTATGGAATATAAATTATATGTCAACAACACTTAAAATTCTAAAAAAGAAAACTGATTCACCAGAGCCAACTCATGGGAAGTCAAAATAACTGTTTTCTCTTCTGCAAAGGCTCCTCCCTGGGATGATGAAACAGTATGGAAATAACAGTAGATCAAAATAGGCCATGGAGACCCTACAAAGAAGTTATTTTAGATCATGAAAAATACATTCAGTCTATGACAGTATCTCAAACTGTTTTACTTTGAAGTGATAGTATCTCAATTCTCTCAAAAAAGTAACAGAATAACATACTGTTATGATTACAATTAGTTTAAAAAATAAACATGCATAACACCTTCCCTGTACAGAACGTCATGTTCTTCACGTATAGTCTGATGATGTTCTCAGGAGTTAAATTTGCAGAATAAAATGTTTCATAAACTGTCTGTGATAGAACATAAAGCATTTGATGACATCAGGAAAAGTTTCTAAGATAAATAACATTAGGGGAAGTCTCTAAATTTTAAAAAAGAAGTTGAAAGAACCTCAACAATTAGTGACAGAAAGGGAAGGTTACTTGATCATGGAGCAGGCAATGAACAGAATGAGCTACCTCATAAGGTAGAAATGGGTTAGAGAATGTATTTGTTATAGTGATATGATAAATTTAAAATAAATGCTGATAGAGATGTTTTTAAGAATAAGTGTGGAAGCCAAACTGGTGCCGAACCTCCATCACTGCCTTCTTGAGACAATACTTCAAGGAAGAGGTAAAGGAAATATAATGCCAACTTAAACTACACGGGATTGTAAGTACCCTCCACCAGCAATTCACTAATTTCAAGCTTAACTCAAACAATCTTTGATACAAATTTTTTAAAATGACCAATATGAACTAAGAATGAAAGAGAAAGAGAAAGCAACCGCAACAGGGTGAGCAGAGGACAAGGAGCTGTGTGGGACAGGGCTGGAAGCCAGGAAGGCAACAGGACGGTTGGCACAGAGCAAGCCTCTGGGGCAGCAGAAGTTGTGAAAGGCCAACTTCACTTACTTCATGTTTTTACATAAGGTCAATCCTAAAATCTCACATTCTGAAATATCTGAAGAAGAAATATTCTAGATGAGCTGCTTTCAGAACTTGCAAAGGTGTAGGTTTGAAACTGTACAAATCGGGTTTAAAATGTGGTACTTTCATCTATTTAGCTGCATGTCCCCAAACAAGTAACTTAATCTCTGAGTCTGTTGCTTCATCTGTAAAACAGAGCTAAATATTATCATCACATCATACAAGGGGTATGATGAGGGCAGTACCAGACGCTGAGGATGACTACCACCACCACTACTATTGCTAGCTAATATTTAGGTCACACTGACTACACCAAGTCCACATTAAGCTCTCTCTACATATAACATGTATTTTTTATATATATATATATATATACACACACACACACATATGTATACACAAACTCATTTAATCCTATAAGGTACTTACTGACATTATTTTCATTTTACAGAAGAATAGAAAAACAGAGAATTAAAAATACAGCTCAAGGTCGCACAGTCGCAAAGCTAGGAAGTGGTAAGGTCTGGCTTCAAACCCAGGCGGTTAGTCTATAAGGAAC
Source organism: Homo sapiens (assembly GCF_000001405.40). Taxonomy (NCBI): domain Eukaryota; kingdom Metazoa; phylum Chordata; class Mammalia; order Primates; family Hominidae; genus Homo; species Homo sapiens. Next base: position 118,933,675 of record NC_000003.12, read on the forward strand.
ACACACTTACTACTACACATAACTCAACACACAGAAATCATTCCATATGTGTTTGCTGTTATTATTATCACTACAATATTATATGATGACAAACTTTAAAACTAGAATGGACTTTTACGTAAAGGAGTTAGAAACTCCTTCTACTTCCTGCTTCTCAATCTGCGAATCAGTTTCAGTCCGCCTCACCCTCATCTCCCTCTCTCCTGTCAGTTTAGAGGAGTTTATCTAGGACCAACCCTGTACGTGAGCTTCAAATACCATCTGCTTGGCCCCCTTAGTGACCTTATCATAGACTTCCCCCTCCCATAACTTCAACCCCTTTCTCTGCACTGGAGACTTCCTGATAGCATTTAAACATCCTCAAGTATTTAAACTGAAAACAAAATTCCTACTTCCCTACACCCCACAGTCCTCACCAGGGAGGCCCTAGCTCTCTGATACTTCACGTTAATCTTTTTGAAAGCACTCTCTATAGTCTCTCCACAGAATCTATTCCTGCTCCATAGTCTTCAATCTACTTCTGCCCCAATCATTTCTTAAAAACAATTTTCCCTAGGCTTCCCAGATACCTCCTTGTGGCTGTATGACACTTGTAATCATTCTTGGACTCTGGTAAACATCTGACAGAGATGACCCTTCCCTCTTCCTTAAAACACACCTTTCCCTTAGCTTCAGTGATGTTAATATAATTCACTTCTGGTTTTCCTCCCAACTCTCTGGACACTTCTCACTTCCTCTTGCTGTTTTACCCTTTTCCACATGGATACTGAATGTTGGTATTTCTGAAAGTACTGCCTTGATGCCTTATTCTAAACTATCTCCCTACAGAATTTCACTTACCATCATGAATTCAATTCTCATATAAATGCTAATGGCTTTCAAATTTATATCTCTACTCAAAACCTCTCCTCTTATATCCAATTGCCTCCTAGACTTCACCATGTGGCTACCTCAAAGGCACCTCAAAAGTGTGCTTGTCCAAGATCAAACTATTCCTTTGCATGCCCACCTCCCAAATATACTCTGGCTCCTTCCTGATGTTCCCTATGGTTGTGAATGGCTCGAACAGGGCCAAGCTGGGCAAGCCAGACATTTAGAGACCTTCAAGTCAACTCTGTCATCATCTCCCAAACCCAATCCATGATCAAATCTGGCACATTTTACCAACTAAATTTCTCTTGACTCCTGGAATCTGAGTCTTTGCTCTGTTTTCTGTCTTTCCTCTGTCTGGTTTGCTTTGTTCCAAACCTCAACTTCTTTACTTAGTAACCTACTCATAAACCCCAGCTTCTTTACTTAGTAACCTACTCATCATTTACAATAGCTCAAGTGATACCTTCTCACAAGAAAAGCCCTGACCTCTCAGTCTAGGTCAGAGTCTCACAAAGTAGTGTCAGAACACCACCAAGCTTTTAATCATACCTTGCGATTATATAACAAATCCTCATTAGTATACTGTATGGTCTAAGAAAGCACACCATGGGAACTCAATACATACATGTTGCTAAATTGATCTAATCCAATTACTTCAATTTCCACATGAAATATCAGGGTGTATATACATATATATATGTATATATATATAAATATATACACACACCCTGAGGAAATATCAGGGTGTATATACATATATATATATATATATGTATATACACCCTGAGATATATATATATATACATGTATATACACCCTGAGATATATACACACACACACACACACACATACACACACACATATACATACGTATATACATATACGTATGTATATGTGTGTGTGTACATATATATATCAGATGCCAAAAGAGACTTTTAAGACAAACTGCCCTGAAGAATTTGCACAAGGAAGATGGCTGAAAATTGGTTATATAACTTTGAGGACTACACAAAGGGAATAAATGAGTCAGGGGTGAAAGTCTGTAAAGAGGCTTTGTGGAGAGAACTTTTAAATTAGGGCTGCGGTACACTAAAAGACTCACTCGCTCTATTCCCACCTTGGAGGTGAACACACATGAAAGCTGGTGCAGGGTCTTCTTAGGCCTAACAAGAGGGCTCGCTGATGGGACCTCAGTAGAGGAAAGTTGAAGCCGGATATCTAGACTCCTAGAGGGTATCTCACTGGCCATCAGGGAGTCATACTTATAATTCTGTATATAAATTAAGATTTTCTTATTCTGTTTCATTTTTTAAATTCAAAGTGATCAGAAAAGTTGTATAACCTGCTTTAGTTCTCATCTAGGGAAAGAACTGACTCATGAATGAATTTAAAGGTATGCAGAAGACGAAATTAAGTTACTCTGTGAATGTGTCTCATGGTTCCTCTTTAGTATATTGATAGAACTATGTGTAATAAAAAGTTTCTTAGAGTAATAAAAAGTTTCTTAGAGTAAGAAGGAGGGAAATGGGTGTTTTTTTGCATTTTTGATGCTAAAATTTTTTCTATCCTATTAAAAAAACCAAAAACTCTATTTCCTCTTAAAGGATATTTCCATGTTTGAAATTCTAGGCAAGAATTTAAACTTGAATGCTAAATATTAGGTTAAAAATCCACTTAGGCTGGGTGCAGTGGCTCACACTTGTAATCCCAGCACTTTGGGAGGCTGAGGCAGGCAGATCACTTGAGGTCGGGAGTTCGAGACCAGCCTGGCCAACATGGTGAAACTCCATCTCTACCAAAAATACAAAAATTAGCCAGGCGTGGTGGCAGGTGCCTGTAGTCCCAGCTACTTGGGAGGCTGAGGCAGGAGAGTCGCTTTAACCTGGGAGGTAGAAGTTGCAGTGAGCCAAGATTGCACTACTGCAATCCAACCTGGGCGACAAAGTGAGATTTCATCTCAAAAAAAAAAAAAAAAATTTAAAACATCTTACAATTTGCAATATTTACATGTAAAATGCATAATTTAAGAGCCAAAGTGACAGCATTTTGCACTTGAATCTTTTCTTTGTACTTTCACTTCAGTCAACTCCATGAATTCTGAATGACTCTCAGCAATTACATAAAAAGGATATAAAGTGCATGGTCATATTTCCTCTGAGGAGTTAAAGTCATAAATACAGTTGTCTATAATCTTTCTTTAGACTCCTGTTTCCCAAGATTTAAAGCAGAAAGGCATTCACATTATTTCAAACCTCTTGGTACATGTTAGGGGAAATGAAGCTGGCAACAAAGAATCTTTAAAAATCCTAGGAGGTACCATCCACACTACACAGCCAAGAGAACAGACAATGGACATTTTACTGTGATCTGCCTACTACTAGAGTCAAATGACATGAAATCCCCCCTGCAAACTCATCAGAGATTGAACGTTGGATGTTCACAATGGGGACTGGCCCAAGCAATCCAATGGAGATTTCACAACAGTGTTCTCTGATGACTATGAAGCAAGTGCTCATGTTTCAGGATTAGCCCAACTGCCAGAACACTTCCCTCTGGGAATATAATCAGCAAAGCATCAAAAAGACCTTTATGGCACTTTGGGAGGCCTATGTTATCCTTCTGCCTAAAATGTCAATATCAGTGGTCACAAAATGCTTATTAGTTTATATCATCCCATATGATCTCACAAGTATTTCTCACATAAATACATGTAATACAAATTTATATAACCTATCAAATTAAGTTTTATAGTTTATCAGACTGACATGAGTTCAAAAAATAAAAATTGTACACTATCCTCCTTGTTTTCTGAAGGAAACTAAGGAATACCACAATTCTCTAGTGTTGTAGTAGTTTTTTAAACAAATCATTCTCCCTTCATATTTTAACCAAATTTTAATTAGATGAAATAATCTACCTTTATACTTACCATATAATCTTTTTACAAACTGCCATCTCAACTAAAAAAAAAAGTTTGTGTTAGCTGAAATTCAATTATATTTTGGCCATCTACTCAGTGCTAAGTGAAATGAAGAGTAATAGCTGACTAATTTATCAATATAGATGGCTCTATTACATATTGGTCATCTACATTAATCAATTTACAGGATCACTGCCAAGCTTCTACTTCATTTTATGCCATATCACAATATATTTTATGGTTGGTGTACAACGGCAAGCTACCATAAAATTATATATCTTCATTTTCTGGCTGAAGCATTAAACATTCATTACACAGTCTATGTAACATGTAATAGTCTGGCTGTAATATGTAATTGTATTCTATTTCTATGGTACTACAGTTTCCCTTTAGATATAATTTCAGTGCTTTCTCATTGACTTCTCCCCTTCAACCACAAACATTGCTCAGAGACCATCCCAAGGGCAAAGAGCATGCCTTATACTGAACTAATGCACACTCTTTAGATTATCACTCCTCTTTGTCACTTTCCAAAAGATATCTCTCTCTCTCTCTCATATATATATATATAAAATGTGTGTGTGTGTGTGTGTGTACATATGCATATGTGTATATACATATGTGTGTGTATACATGCTTACTTGATTCCTACATGTCATGGCATATATATTACGTGGGTAGCATTAACTCAGCAGTATCTCCAAAAACTTGGTGTGAACTTTATCAGAATTCTCTTCAGCAAGTTTCCTATTATCACTTCCTCCTGACTTCATATCTGGCTATCAGCTTACGTATTCTACTCCATTTAGGAATCCCCTTTTGGGGGGCATTTAGTAACACCAGGCCTGCATTTCGCATGGCCATTGATTAGTGCTGCCCCTTTAGACAAAGCAGGAGCTTTCCACACTGCCAGGATCCCCACCCACTTCCTGTTATTCCACGATATAACCCACTTTACTCCATCATGTTACCTGTCTGACTCCTGTGGGCATTTATGTTTGCAACCCCTTATTTAAAACTAAGCAAGTAATGTGATTATAATTAGCCATAAAGAACCAAGGCACAAAAGCAGAACCAGGCTTTGCAGTGTTATGATGGACATGCTACTATGATTGCTACCACACTCAAAACTGACTTCAGAGAAAGGAGAAAGAAGCAATTCCTTGAACATGAGTCACTATGGTTTATGACATAGGATCTTATTTACATCCTGGCTACAAGTGATTGTACCAGAAATCAGCATTTCACCAAGGAGAGGCTGGACACCTAATTATGAGGTAACTTATAAGATAATATAGTTTGGGAAAGCAAAGAGTTTGGGAAAGCAGTAGCATGTGAAGAAAGAAGAGTCAAATAACTAAAACAGGCATAGAGAGGGATATTACATAATGATAAAACGGCGTGCTGACTCATCAAGAACCTAACAGTCCTGTGTATGCACCTCACAACAGAGCTTCAAAGTACAAGAAGGAAACACTGACAGAATTAAAAGGAGAAAAAGTGAAAAACCTGCAATTATGGTTGGTGACTGCAACACGTCTCAATCATTAACTTATAGAACAGACAAAAACAGTAAAAACACAGAAGACCTGAACAATGAACTTAACATAAATGAAAACTTTAGGATGTTCTACCTAACACCATAGAATATATATTATTTTAAAGTAGACATGGAACATCCAATAAGGCAGAACATATTCTGGACTATAAAATGAACTTCAGAAATTTTTAAATAATTAAAGTTATACAAAGAACATGAGTTAAACTAAACTCAATAGGAAGAAATCTAGAAAACCATCATGTATTTTTTTTTTTAAATCACTTCGGGCCAGGTGTGGTGGCTCAAGCCTGTAATCCCAGCACTTTGGGACGCCAAGGCAGGTGGATCACCTGAGGTCAGGAGTTCAAGACCAGCCTGGCCAACATGGCGAAACCCCATCTCTACTAAAAATATAAAAATTAGCCGGGTATGGTGGCATATGCCTGTAGTCCCAGCTACTTGGGAGGCTGAGGTAGGAGAATTGCTTGAACCCAGGAGGCAAAGGTTGCAGTGAGCCAAGATCGTGCCACTGCACTCTAGCCTGGGTGACAGAGCAAGACTCCGTCTCAAAAAAAAAAAAATCACTTCTAAATAATTCACAGGTCAAAGAAGAAATCACAAGGAAGATTAGAAAATATTTTTAATTATGTGAGTATGAAAACACAACTTATCAAAATTTATGGGGAAGCAACCAAAGCATTACTTAGAGAAAAGTAACAGCAGCATCTAAATGTGCATATTAGAAAAGAAGAAAGGTTTATAATCAATGACCTAAGTTTCCACCTTAAGAAACTTTTTAAAAATTAATTTAAATTAAATCAAATGCAGGCATACAGAAGCAAAGTATCAAGACAGAGTAGAATTCAATAAAGACAGAAAAACAACAGGGTAAATCAATAAAATCAAAATTTAGTTATCTGAGGTCAATAAAATTTATAAATCTCTAACCAGACTGACAAAGAATAAAGAGAAAAGTCACAAATTATCAATTCAGATATGAAAGAAGAGACATAATTACAGATCCTACAGACATTAAAAGAAGAACAAAGAGATATTATCAGTACCAATAATTCAAACAGCTAACAAATTTAATGGTAAAAGATTTTCCTCCTACAGTAAGGAACAAGGAGAGATGTCTGCTCTTGCCACTTCTATTTAACATGCAGATTGTAGTCACTGCAATAAGGCAAGAATAAGAATTAAAAGACATATAGATTGAAAATTTCAAAGTAAAACTGTATTTATTTGCAGATAACACATCTACATTAAAAATTCTTACAAGTCTACAAAAAACCAACTAATTCTAATAAATGAGTTTAGCAAGGTTTCAGAAATCAAGGCTAATATACAAATAGCAACGATTTTTCTATACAGTAGCAATGAATATTTGGAAATTAAAATTTTAAAATGATACCACTTATAATAGCATCCAAAACATGAAATACTTAGGGATAACCTTCAGAAAATATCTGTAAGATCTGTGCAATGAAAATTACAAAATTTTCCTGAGAGAAATTTAAAGACTTTACTGCCTGGAGAGACAAACTGTGACCATTAGTCAAAAGACTCAATACTGTTAGGAGGTCAAGTCAACCCAAATTTATCTTTAGATTTAATAGAACCCAAATCAAATTTTCAGTGAGCTGTTTTGTATAGACAAATTGCTCCTGAAATGTATGTACAAAAGTGAATATTAGAATAGAATAATTTTCAAGAAAAAAAGTAAGTTATAAAGTAATATAGATAAAGTAGCATTGGAATAAGGACATATAGAGAGTCCAAAAATTGATTCATACATAAATGGGCAATTGATTTCCAACAAAGTTGTCAAAGCCATTCAGGGGGAAAAGTTTACTCTTTTTGAAAAACTGCACTGGGGGAAAAAATAATCTCCATATGCCAAAAAAAAAAAAAAAAACACCTCTACCCTTATTTAATACTTTATATAAAAATTAACTCAAAATAGATAAAAAATTTAAACATATCAATAAAACTATAAAACTTCTGGAAGAAAACACAGGAGAAATTCTCTATGACTCTGGGTTAGAAAAAGCCTTCTGGAATAGGATACAAAATGCATTAACCACTTAAAAATGGGTAAGACCTCATCAAAATTATTGTTTTGATAATAAAACAATAATAAAACAAGGTAAGTTTCTTGTCTTCAAAAGACACTATTAAGAAAATAAAAATACAAGCCATAGGTTGGGAAAAAATATTTTCAAAACACAAGTTCTTGTATTTATAATATCTAAAAACTCTTAAAATTCAACAAAACAAACAGTCCAATTTTTTAAATGCACAAAAGATTTGAACAGACACTTCACTATGCATAGAAAGTATACAAATGAGTAATAACATCCTGAAACGATGCTCCACTTCATTAGTCAACAGGGAACTTAAAACCACATTGAGATAATACAAAACATCAACTAGAATATATTATATTAACACGACAATGCTAAGTGTTGACGAGAATGTAGAACAACTAACTCTCATACATTTCTGAAGGAAATGAAATGTAGTACAGTCATTTGGAAACATTTTCATATTTTATTACAGAATTAAATGTACACTTAACTATACAATCTAGCAATTCCAATTCTAGATATTTATGCAAGACAAGTAAAGATACAGATCTACAGAAAAACCTATATGCAAATGTTCACTGCATCTTTATTTGTAATAGCCAAAATACCAGACACAACTCAAATGCCCATCAACTTGCAAATGGATAAAACAATTGTGACACAGCCATTTAATGAAATATTACTTATGAACAAAAAAAACCTCAAACTTCTGATATATGCAAAATGACTAAATGTTAAAGCTATTGTGCTAAGTGAAATAATCCAGAAACAAATGGCTATATACTGCATGTATCCATTAAAAAAAAATCTACGGAGAAAGCAAAACTATACAGGCAGAAAACAAAGCAGCAGTTGCCAGATGCTGGAGCTGGGACTGAGGGTTAAAGTTTGGCAGAGAATACTACATAGGGCATAAGGGAAGTCCTTGGAGTTACAGAAATAGTGTACATCACGGTTATGGTAGTGAACACAAGACGAGACATTTGTCAAAACATAGCAAACTATATACCTAGACAGAGGGATTTTATTGTATGTAAGTTATACTTTAAAAAAATGTTTTTTTAGAAAAAGGTATGTTGGGAAGCTCACAGAATCATGGAAATGGCTTGAAAAACAAATTAAGGGCTAATCTTCCAGGAAAACATCCATAACTATACTGTAAAACTGGCTTAAGAAAATTGCTGCAACTGTCCCTGTCACCAAACCCCAAATGCCAAAACTTTACTGCAACTACGAATGATGTCCCAGTGCTATATCAGGCACTTAACCCTACAACACTACCATCCTGCAAAGCCATACTCTTATGCTGCTATCTGTGCTAGCAATAGAAGCTCAACATAGAACTTGTTCTGTCACGTTTCTTCTTTCAAGTTTCTTCTTTCAAGTCAGGGCCAGAGACTCTCTATGTGAATCTGACTGAAGGGCCGAAGTCCAAGCTACACAAGAGGCCAGAAATTTAAGTTCTCATTTCTAACACTGGGGAGGTAGACTCATAATGTGGGAATTCCTCCAAATAGAAATACTATTCAAAATATGATTTGTCAGCCATGAATACGACTATGCTGACTACAGCAAGCAACAAATGAAAACAATAACAATTATGTCTTTCTCCTTCTTCTCTCCTACCTCTTCTAAGCCTATCTTTGTCAAGTTGTCTGTGTATTCCTTTATCTTGTCGGCTTTGCAGGGTGAAAAGATGAAACTACTGAAGACCAACAGGCTTCCTGTCTCTTGTGAAGCCTATGCTCACTGAGGAAGCTACAGTGGGGCAGAGGAGGTAGGAGGGGCTGCCTTTGAGCCTGATAAAGGAGAAAAAATACTACTGGGAGGGGAATGGAAGTTGGCCAAGTTCCTTGACAAGAGGAGATGCATGCTCTCCTTTGCTCAGAGGACAAAGGAAATAATGGTGCCTCAAAGAGTATGGCTGTCCTGGAGACTGGAGCTCTGGTCATCACAACATTCCATGTGTCCTACAAGGCACAGAAGCTGCAGAGCAACACAAAGGATCCTGCGGGCTTGAACAAGGGGCTCGAACAAAAAGCAGTTACTCCACAGAAGACCAGAGGGGTCCTCCCAGCATTGTGGCTCTGTAAGACAGACTGCAGCATATAGAGGGGAGCCTCAATAATTGATAATTATCACAATGATTTTTTTAAAAAGGGGTCTCAGATTTGAATTCAACTTGACATTTTAAAAAACAGATAGACATTTCTTACAAAACTTTGTGGAGCCTAGAAATGATGAGTAAAGTTTAAAAATAAATCTTAATGCCCTAAGCATTATATAAGGACTTTAAAAAAGATCTCTGTGCTTTCAAAAATTTCAGAAATCATAGTTTAAAGACAAGGCAGGGAATGGGCAGAGAAAACTGACAGAATCTAGGGGCTATTTTTTCGCTATTTCAGGATTGTCTTTTATTACAATGATAACCCTCTAGCCAAATCTGAACTTCCATGTGACTGGCCTTTTTCAGAGAAAATAAAATTTCTTGCTGCTTAGCTTTCTAAAGGACTTCTGAAAATCTAGGCTTTTAACTTGGATAATGAATAGGGTGAGAAGAATGTATTTTTCTTTCCTGTATACAGAACACTCTCTGACATTGTGATGCTATAGTTGCATGTCCTTATCAGTCTGGTTACTACATTGAGATTTATATTGGGAAATGCTATCTAGAGTTTCCAGATGGCAAGAGGCCAGATAAAGGGCCTTTGCTGTTAAATACAACCATGTACTCTCAACTTCACCACTTGGTTGAATATAGCTCTACTTGGCTATAATGAGCAAGCTCCATTTGTTTAATGAAGCATTCATATGACAAAAGTGGCTAAATCAACAAGTAGAGTTATTTATGAACAAATAAAGCCATCTGAAACCATCAGGAAGGATGTTACATTCTGAAACCAATTAAATTCTTTTTAAAAATGGCTCAACTGAAATATTTTATTCTTGTTCACCAGTAACACTGCTTCTTTCCAAATTAAACACTATTTTTAAAATTTTTCTTGATTTTTAGATATGTTTGTGTTAGTACTAATTTAACTTCTAACTAGTTTAAAGCATTCTTCAGTTTTTAACATACAAATATTTTAAATGTGGAAGTAAAGAGTTTGGTTATCCTTTTAGAAGTTCTCTTGAAGTCTAGGAATAGAGATAGAGGTAATATGGCATCATCATTAGGTTCTAATACAATGTATCTAGGTTTACTTTCTATGACCTTCAAGGCTCTGCTTAATCTGACCTTTGCCTGTTCTTCCAGCCAGTCTTACAGTACTTTCTTCCACAGTGGGCTTTTCTCAGGTTCAGCAACACACTGCACTCTCCCATCTAAGATTTATGTGGTCTATTGCCTTAGCTTGAAATACACACACACACACACACACACACACACACACACACACACACACACACACGATCCCTCTCATTTCTACCCATCCTTCAGATTTCAAAATTCTGCTGACCTCCAGAACAGACTACCCTTCCTTTTTAAATGCCCTCATGACACCCTGTACTTCCTTGATATAGTCACGACACTTTAAATTCTCTTAATAGAGGCCTTTCTCAATTTGATTCTAAGTAGAACCTATATGCTCGGGTCTCAGCACACAGAGACCATAATACAGTAAATGTTCAATATATTTGATGTTCAATGTACTTGATGCTATTCATCAAGAACTTATGTGCCAAGTATTGTTTTAGGCGGTTTATATAAAGCTTAGTAACAAACAAGACTTGGAGGTGATATGATTATTAATCGTATTTTACAGATGAGGAAACTGAGACCCAGAGATGGAACTGGGATTCAAAACAATGTCTAGTGTGACTCCAGAGCCTTTCCTAACTCCTACTTAAAGCCTCTGAGGAATGCTGAAAAGAGCACAGGACATAGAATCCAGGTACAGCTACTGACTAATTGTGTAGCCTGGGGCACATTATTTTAACTTGTTGGCTTTAGTTTTTTGACATCTTTAAGAAAAGGCATAAAAATATCTGCCTCACAAAATCACTTTGAAGAAAAATACATTAAATGCCTTGCACAAAGGAGGTTTTTAATAAATAGCAATTGAATTTGATCTCAAAAAATAACCTAACATACAAATAAGCAGGGAAAAAAAACCAGAAAACAGAGGAAAGAAAATAGCATGTATTCACCTAGTCATATAATCGTCCCAGTAGCATCAAACTTCTCAAGAAAATTGTGGTCATACTCTTATTTTGACAGAGACCTACAACTGTGATTATTAAAAGTAATACAAAGTTACTCTTAAGCATATATTAGGAAGAAGCTTATTTTGGCATGAGTTATTACATATCTATGCTTTCCACCCTGTCACCTCAGAGTAGTCAAAAAACTTCCCATGATGAAGCCGTGGTGAAATTCAAAAATGAAATGTAAATGAGAAGTAGGAAAGAAATGTTAAAAAACAAAAATTGGTAGGAAATGAAAAGATAAGACTAAATGAAACCACAGAGTGCCGGAAGAATAAGCAAGGAAAGAATAGAGGAAGATAATGGGGATAGAAGGCACTGTATTGTTGACAGCATCTGATCTAGAGATTAGTGTTATTTCTAAGCAGATTAACTAAATCCCAACTGTTCCACATCAGGTCCTTTCTCTAAGCTTTTCTTACCTCATATCAGCAAATAAAAAATAAATAAAATTTTAAACACACAAATGAAATTAAAGGAAAAAACCACCCACACAAACCAGAAATGTCCTGGGTTGACAATTCATCCTAATATGCTTATTGTCTCCTTCTGTTCTGTGCCTAGATTAAAATGATGAAAGTCATCAACCTTAAAAGAAGCAAAAAAGAAGAGAATTAGCTCCTCTGTGTAATTTTTTTAAATATAGCATCAAACCATCTTCCCGTCAGCAACAGGCACTGCAGTATTGAAGATCATCACATGAGGGCAGAGGGCGTAAAAAAGGATGGTGTGGTAGGAGACTGTTATTTCTGTCCCAGATACAGAGAAGAACTTTTAACCTTATTGTGCTTTTCCTTATCATAACCTTCTCCATAGCAACCACAGAACTGCAGTAGCAAGAAACAGATGGGAAGACAAAAAATATACGTACATTATTAACCATTGGCTACACACACACACGCACACACACACACACACACACAAACATATATATATATATAAATCCGGAAAAATGAATTCAGTAATGTTTTTTTAAAAAAATCACACAACTTCCCCCCGAAATTTCATATTGCTATGGAAGACTAACCACTAAAACACTAGGCTAGCATAGTATTATTGTAATTTTTCTATAGCACTTATACTTGCAACCTATTTATAGCACTTTACAACAGATTTAATCTCTAAAATGAGCCTATTTTACTTAAAAAAAAAAAAGAAGAAGAAGAGGAGGAAAGAAAGAAATCTTTTGAGGCCCAACAAACAGATTTCTCAATGCTTAGTCCTGAAGAATGGGCTTTCACCTCCCTTACTATTCCTGAATAAGACTGACATAGTAGTCATGTTATAGGATTATGACTTTGTGTCCAATGTATGTCATACTGCTGGTGAAAAGCACTTCTTACCCCATTAGTCATTCTCCTGAGTTTAAAACCAGAAAATCTAGAAAGGGTCACCACTAACAAGCATTTTTATGACAAGGTAAAACAATAAGAGTACAGTCACTCTTTGGGCACAACGCTCCCTACTCTGCTATCACTGTTTCTTTATTTTGGCTTAACGTTTTTAACTGCTTAACAAATGCACATGGCCGGGCGCAGTGGCTCACGCCTGTAATCCCAGCACTTTGGGAGGCCAAGGCGGGCGGATCATGAGGTCAGGAGTTGCTTCCACCAACTTCTTAGCTAAAGGGTTGAGAAAATTGTTAAGAATTTAAGGTACTACAACTGCTTAAACAATATTAGTAATTTCCTTCCAAATAATTTTTAAAATTATTCTCTTTTCTCTCCTCCTAAAACAACTTCCAGTTGAGACCAGAAGCAGCAGCAGTCCTCGACATCAACTACAACTTTCCTTCGCACAGTGCATACCCTCTGATATACTGAACCCAACGCCTATCCTCCAGCCCCCTAAGAACTAGAGAGGGAGCCTCACAACATTCCAATTTAATCCTTCAGAAAATTCATTACTCTTCAAAGTTGTCTGTGGTTTTGTGACAACGATATGACTAGGTGCAAAATGGCTTGCAACTAATTAACAAACATAGAAGCATCCAACAAACATATACGTGCACAATCTGAGGATTTAGGGATGAAATCAGTTATCCAGGTTAGATATCAACAAAAGAGCAGTAATTATAAAGTTTCATGAAGAAAGTGGCTGTTGAGGTGTGGATTATGTAAGTAAGACTGACAACAAGAAATGATTTTGTTATAATCCAGAAGTAAAACTAAATAAATGTTCTTTAAATTGATGGATAAATAAGAAAGAATTTATTTACAACAGTAAATAAATCCAATACTTGTTATAAATAAGATAAAGCTGGCTATAAATTCACATTTTCATGTGAGCGTTTTGAAGTATGTGGACATAAAAAACACACACCTCAAGCATACTTCTCAATGATTTCTGATAAAGAACACACCTTTGTAACCAGCACATGGTGTAAAACCAGAAACAGAACATTACCAGATTCCTAAACAAGCCTTCTTTGTGCCCCTTTTTAGTCACTACCCTCCCCCATTCAAGGTAACTTCTATCTTGACTTCTAACACCACACTTTTAGTTTTGCCTATTGTTAACTTGATATAAATAGAATGATACTGTATATTTTGTGTGTGTTTGGCTTCTTCTGCTCCAACTTTTGTTGGTAAGGTTTATACAGATTATTAAATATAGCTATAGTTCATTTATTTCTATTACTATGCAGTATACTTGGATTCAGGAATACACCATAACTTAATCATCCATTCTATTGTTGACTGGTTTGGCAATTTTCTAAACATACGCAAATTCTATGAACCAGCAATTCTATCCCGTGTATGTGTATATATACACACATGTTAAATATATACACAGAAACATGCTGTGAAAGTGCTTTGCAAATGGCAAAATGTAAAATGTAAGGAATGTTACCAAAGAGCTGAAACGCACTGTGTCTTTCTTGCAACACAGATTCTTGGACATATCAGATAATAAATGTATTTTGTATTGAAAATAAGATATTGCCACTGTTGCGCTCAGAAATTACTATAAGAATTCAACGGTTGTGGGAGGAAAAGGCAGAGGAGTACTTATCTGCAGGAAATCTGCTGGGGCACGGCAGGTCTCAGGGACTTGTGTCTACATGAAAACTTGAGACTTCTGAAAGAAGTGGATACGAAAGCAGCATGCTCAGCCCCAAAACACAAGAAATGAAGTTCCCACAAAATGGGAGATTACAGAATCCTTAACTTGACCAGAAACTCAAGTTAAGTGGGGAAAAGGTCTACATGCTAAAGTTTGGGTCTGGTAAACAGGGTGGTAATAGTCAATGAGGAGGATTAGTGTTGGATGTCATAGTAAATACAGCCATTTGTTGTCCTGTTCTATGGCTCAAACGCAGGGAATTTATCCCTGGTTCCTCACGAGAAAATTGTAAGAACCTTAAAAAGCAAACATTAGGCCGGGCGTGATGGCTCACGCCTGTAATCCCAGCACTTTGGGAGGCCAAGGCAGGCAGATCACGAGGTCAGGAGATAGAGACCATCCTGGCTAAAACGGTGAGACCCCGTTTCTACTAAAAATAAAAAATAAAAAAAAATAGCCGGGCATGGTGGTGGGCGCCTGTAGTCCCAGCTACTCGGGAGGCTCAGGCAGGAGAATGGCGTGAACCCAGGAGGCGGAGCTTGCAGTGAGCCGAGATCGCGCCACTGCCCTCCAGCCTGGGCGACAGAGCGAGACTCCGTCTCAAAAAAAAAAAAAAAAAGCAAGCAAACATTACATTTAAAGGCACAATTTTTTTATATAAAATGATAACGAAGGCAAAGACATCCTGATAAACTTCATAAAATAACTGATAGGAAAATGGATACTCTTCGGCCCTGGTTCAACCAGGGTAGCATAGAGGACAAAGGGCACAAGAGGCACCAGAGAGTCCACAGAAAATGTCAACAGCCACCAAGACCATCTGTCCCAAGAAACCAAAACAAAGAACAAAGATTTTTACCATTCTATTATTGGAGCAGAAAATCACAACTGCTTAACTCCTCTGTTACTATTACTCATGCCATTGTCTCACTAGGATTGCTTTAGCCACCTGAGGAAAAAAAAAAAAAAAAAAAAGTTATACTCTGCCTCAGAGTTGCCCAGAAGCTTAAAAAACCCTATAGGTAGTCTGACCACTCACATTATTGAAAAGAAATACAACACATGAACATATACAGACACAAAAACCACACAAACACCACTTCAAGAATAAGATTCTCCTGAAATCTAAACACTCCATAGTTGTTAACATCTAAGAGGCTTGAACAATGAAGCATGCATAGCTGAAATGTGATGAAACCTCAACCTGAGATCTGTTATCTTTCCTTTGAGGGCTCTAAGCAGTTTCACTTTTGCATGTATTATTCTCAACATTCTTGCAAATTAGGTGGGCATTGCTGCTGTTACCTTCATTTTACACACAAAATAAGGAACGGAGTAATAAAGTAATCCAAAGCTTGCATAAAGTAATCCAAAAAATTTATCAAAGCCAAGACTAAAATTCAAGTCTCATGATGTTCACTTTCTTTCTACTGTAACACACAGCCCCAGGAGAAAGGATTAAGCAAACAGCTGTTCCAGGTAGATCAAAAAGCCTCTGCATACCTTCCCTTAGGGAAAAGTGATGAATTTACTCTAATGGGAGGGTAATGTTTGAAATTAATTTACCAATGAAAATTGGCCTTAGTCCTCAAGCCCAAGGCCTAGAATAAATTAGGTTCTGCTGGAGAGGGGAAGGAACAATTACCAATGCAAACCCTCAATAAAGAGGGAAAATATAAAGAATTATCCCTAATATTTATTGAGTCAGGAATGGAAGTATAAATTTTTACTTCCCATTAACCATATAATACTTGATGCTACCACTCTTTCTAAAGAAACCACAGCACATACACACTCACTCTATACTTTCTCTGTTTAAGGAGTAACATGCAGGCTCCATCATGAATGGCAAAAGAGAAACAATCCTATCCACTAACCTGAATAGCCCTAAGGGATCTGATCCGTTATATCACCTCCTCCCAGCTCAAGCTTTCTCCGGTTAAGTTCTAACAGAGTAAAAATTCTTCAAATCACCATTAAGGTTAAAATTTTGTTATTTCCTATCATAAACAATAAAGCATTATTCTAGTGATAGCAAATGTTGATTGCCACGACGAGATACAACAGTATTATGACACAGTAAAAAATTCCTAAGGTAATATGCCTTTTATATATTTTATAGAGAATATTCAAGGTTAAGGTTTCTCACTGATGTATTTCTCCTAGTGGGTGAAAAAAATACACACACGCAAACATATATATACCCCAACTCAATTTTCCCCATCTTGCCTGGAAAGCTATTAATAATGTATCTATATAATAGATACATTATAATAATACATTATAATAATGTATAAATGATTCCATTTATATCAAGTTAATAATAGGCAAAACTAAAAGTATGGTGTTAGAAGTCAAGACAGAAGGTCATGTGGGAAAATGAATTACTCTGTTCCCCTATGGAATTTTCTCCTCAACCTGGACAATCAACTAATGCCAGAGGCCTACAGTCACCAAACCAAGAGCTTTGATGGGGTTGGGGGAACCTCAAAAACAAACTTGTAAGCTGCTGCTTGGGAGCAGATTAACAGCTAAGTAGCATAAGACCAGTCTTACAGTACTGTGTATTACAGGTCTGCTGGCTCTGGCTTGGTGATTTCTCACCAAGGAATGGGTAAGTTGGTAGACAGTAATGAATGAATATATTTACAAGCCATTAGGTCAGCTCTATCCAATAGAACTTTCTGTAATGATGAAAATGTCCTGTATCTGCACCACCCAACATAGTAGCAGCCACATGTGGCTATTCAGCATCTGAATTGTACCTAATGTGACTGAGGAACTGAATTTTAATTTAGATGTCCACATGGGGCTAATGGCTAGCATGACAGATAGCACAGCTTTAAATACTCAGTCTTTTTATAGAACTAAGCTATGCTTGATGCATGTATACCTTATATCAGGGACTGCAACTGGTGATTCATAGACCAAAGCTGGCTGACAAATGAGTATGGTTTGGTGATCATAGTATTTTGGCTTTTAATCTAAATTGAAACTTATAGACAGGGTACTCCCCAGTTGGCCACTGTATCTTAACATTTTCTAATTCTCCATCACACAGATACAACTACACACACACATAAGCATTTGATTTTTCTATCCTACAAAATGTGGTAATATTATTTTTCAGATTCTTTTTCACAAAACATCACTTCAAGAAAGCTTCAAGTGATATTTCTTTTAAAAATAATAATAGACTAATAATAATATCTATCCCTTTATTGGTTATTTACTATGTGTTAGGAACCATTCTAAGTTCTTCACCCATATTAGTTCAACCCATCAGTATCGACTGGGATTGGTTCCAGGACACCCCCCAGACACCAAAATCCCCAAATGCTTAAGTCTCTTATATAAGATGGTACAGCATTTGCATGTAACCTACAAATATTCTCTCAAATACCTTAAATCATCTCTAGATTACATACAATACCTAACACAACGTAAATGCTATGTAAATATAGTATTGTTTCTATTTGTATGTTTTATCATTGTGTTTTTTTAAAATTTTTTCCCAAAATATTTTCAATCTGTGGTTGGTTGAATCCATGGCTGCATAACCCACAAATATGGAGGACTGACTGTATACATACAGACATACCTCAGAGATATTAGAGATTTGCTTCCAGACCACCAAAATAAGGTAAAAATCTCAATAAAGCAAGTCATACATATTTTTTGGTTTCCCAGTGCATATAAGTTGTATTTACACTATACTGTAGTCTATTAAGTATGCAGTAGCATTATATAAAAACAGTACATATCTTAAAGTAAAAAACACTTCATGGCTAAAAATGCTAACGATCATCTGAGCCTTCAGTGAGTCATCATCTTTTTGCTAATAGAAGGTCTTGCCTCAATGTTGATGGCTGCTGAATGATCAGGTTAATGGTTACTGACAGCTTGTGTGGCTGTGGTAATATGGCAACAGTGAAGTTTGCTACTTTGACACTCCTTTCATGAAAGATTTCTCTGTAGCAGGCAATGCTGTTTGATAGCATTTACCTACAGCAGAAACTCTTTCAAAATTGGAGTCAATCCTCTCAAATCCTGCTATTATCATCTAAGTTGATATGATATTCTAAATCCTTTGTTGTCAGTTCAACATTGTTCACATCTTCACCAGGAGTAGATTCCATCTCAAGAAACCATTTTCTTTGCTCATCCAGAAGAAGCAACTTCTTATCTGTTAAAGTTTTATCATGAGATTGCAACAATTCAATCACATCTTCAGGCTCCATTTTTTTAAGATAGAATAAGCTTCTAAGATAAAGATGATTGAGCATTTGTCAAACTAGGGTATAAATATTACTGGAATTTCCCATGATTTTTTCAGAAAACTTGTAGATACACAAAAATGAGAAGTAAAAATTAGATCTTAAAACTGAAATATGACCCATAAGACACAAGCACTTAAAGGAATTATATTAATAAAGTTTTGAATGCACTGATCAAATAGTGAAATCACTTTATTTGGAAAACTCCTGTTTTTATGTTGTTATTTTTCCTGAGATCTTAAAATTATTTTTTAACTTTTTTTTATTTCCATAGGTTTTTGGGGAACAGGTGGTGTTTGGTTACATGGATAAGTGCTTTAGTGGTGATTTGTGAGATTTTGGTGCACCCATCACCTGAGCAGTATACACTGTATCCAGTATGTAGTCTTTTATCCCGCATCCCCCTTCCAACCTTTCCCCACTTTCCCAAAGTCCATTGTATTATTTTTATACCTTTGAACCCTCACAGCTTAGCTCCCGCCTGTGAGTGAGAACACATGATGTTTTTCTATTCCTGAGTTACTTCACTCAGAATAATGGTCTCCAGCTCCATCCAGGTTGCTGTAAATACCATGATTTCAACGCTTTTTATGGCTATTATTTCATGGTACACATGAATATATACCACAATTTCTTTATCCACTCGTTGATTGATGGACATTTGGGCTGGTTCCATATATTTGCAATTACAAATTGTGCTGCTATAAACACACATGTGAAAGTATCTTTTTGTATAATGACTTCTTTTCCTCTGGGTAGAGACCCAGCAGTAGGATTGCTGGATCAAATGGTAGTTCTACTTTTATTAATAGTTATTTAAGGAATCTCCACACTGTTTTCCATAGTGGTTGTACTAGTTTACATTCCCACCAGAGGTGTAAAATTGTTCCCTTTCTACCTCATCCATGCCAACATCTATTATTTTTTGATTTTTTTTATTATGGCCATTCTTGCAGAAGTAACATGGTATCGCATTGTGGTATTGATTTGTATTTCCCCAATCATTAGTGATGTTGAGCATTTTTTCATATGTGTGTTGGCCACTTGTATGTCTTCTTTGGCAAATTGTCCCATGGCCTTAGCCCACTTTTTGGTTGGATAGTTTGTTTTTTTCTTGCTAATTTGTTTGAGTTCCTTGCAGATTCTGGATATTAGTCCTTTGTCAGATGTACAGACTGTGAAGATTTTTTCCCACTCTGTGGGTTGTCAGTTTACTCCGCTGATGGTTTCTTTTGCTGTGCAGAAGCTTTTTAGTTTAATTAAGTCCCATCTATTTATCATTGTTTTTGTTGCAGTTGCTTTTGGGTTCTTGGTCATGAGGTCCTTCCCTAAGCCAACGTCTAGAAAGGTTATTCCAATGTTATCTTCTAGAATTTTTATGGTTTCAGGTCTTAGATTTAAGAACTTGATACATCTTGAGTTGATTTTTGTATAAGGTGAGAGATGATTCCATTTCATTCTTCTATTACATGTACCTTGCCAATTATCCCAGCACCTTTGTTAAATAGGGTGTCCTTTCCCCACTTACTTTATCTTTTTCTTTGCTTTGTTGAAGATCAGGTGGTTGTAAGTATTTGGCTTTATTTCTGGGTTCTCTATTCTGTTTCATTGGTCCATGTGCCTATTTTTATGCCAGGACCATGCTGTTTTGGTGACTATGGCCTTATAGTGTAGTTTGAAGTCAAGTAATGTGAAGCCTCCAGATTTGTTCTTTTTACTTAGCCTTGTTTGGCTATGAAGGCTTTTTTGGGGGGTTCCATATAAATTTCCAAGTCTAGTTATTTTGCTATTTCCAACACATCTGCAGTGACTTCCTTGAACCCCTCAAGGTCATGCACAAGGGTTGGAATCAACTTCTTACAAATTTCTGTTAATGCTAATATTTTGACTTCCTCCTATGACAAAAATGTTCTTAATGGCATCTGGAATTGTAAATCCTTTCCAGAAGATTTTCAGTGGACTTTGCCCTGATCCATCAGAGGAATCACTCTCTATGGCAGTGACAAAATGCATCAAACAGCCAAATTGTGAATGAAAAGGATAAGTTGTGTGTTCACTGGAGTAGCATTTTTAATTTCCTTCAATACTTATGAAATGTATTTCTTAAATAGGAAGACTTGATAGTTGAAGTTATTCCTTGATTGATAGACCACAGAATGAATAAATGTGGGTAAATGCTATCAAATGGTGAAATCACTTCAAAACCACAATGCGATACCACCTTACTCCTGCAAGAATGGCCATAATAAAAAAAATAGATATTGGCATGGATGAGGTAGAAAGGGAACAATTTTACACTCCTGCTGGGAATGTAAACTAGTACAACCACTATGGAAAACAGTGTGGAGATTCCCTAAAGAACTACTAGTAAAAGTAGAACTACCATTTGATCCAGCAATCCCACTACTGGGTATCTACCCAGAGGAAAAAATGTCATTATATGAAAAAGATACTTTCACATGCATGTTTATAGCAGCACAATTTGCAATTGCAAAAGTATGGAACCAGCCCAAATGCCCATCAATCAATGAGTGGATAAAGAAATTGTGGTATGTATGTATGTATATGTACATACACACACACACACACACACACACACACACACACATACACACACACACCATGGAATACTACTCAGCCATATAAAGGAATGAAATAACAGCATTCACAGCAACCCAGATGGAACCGGAGACCATTATTCTAAGTGAAGTAACTCAGTAATGGAAAACCAAATATCATGTGTTCTTACTCACAGGTGGGAGCTAAGCTGTGAGGGTTATCATCTATAATTTTTATGGTTTCAGGTATTAAAGTCTTTGAACAATCTTGAGTTGATTTTTCTATAAGGTGAGAGATGAGGATCCAGTTTCATTAGCTGTCATGAAAACAACATTAATCTCCTTGTACAGCTCCATCAGCACTCTTGGCTGGCCAAATGCATTGTCAATGAGCATTAATATTTCGAAAAGAATCTTTTTTTTTCCAAGCAGTAGGTCTCGACAGGTGGCTTAAAATTTTCAGTAAACCCTGCTATAAACAGATGTGCTATCACCCAGGCTTTGTTATTCCATTTACAAAGCACAGGTAGAGGAGCTTTAGTGTAATTCTTAAGGGCTCAAGGATTTTCAGGATGGTAAATGGGTGCTGGTTTCCACTTAAAGTCACCAGCTGCATTAGCTCCTAACAGGAGAGTCAGCCTGTCCTTTGAACCTTTGGATCCAGTCATTGACTTCTCTCTAGCTATGAAAGTCCTAGATGGCATTTTCTTCAAACAGAAGGCTGTTTTTCATCTCCATTGAAAATCTGTTGTTTAGTATATGTACCTTCATCAATGATCTTAGCTAGAACTTCTGCATAACTTGCTGCAGCTTCTAAATCAGCACTTGCTGCTTTATCTTGTACTTTCATGTTATGAAGACAACTTCCTTCCTGAAACCTCATGAACCAACCTCTGCTAGCTTCAAACATTTTTCTGTGCCTTCCTTGCCTCTCTGTCTTCACAGAATTGAAAAAAATTAGGGCACTGCTCTAGATTAGGTTTTGGCTTACAGAAATGTTGTGGCCGGTTTTATCTTTTATCCAGACCATCAAAACTTTCTCCATATCAGCCATAAGGCTGTTTCACTCTCTTATAAGTTGTGTGTTCACTGGAGTATCACTTCTAATCTCCTTCAAAAACTTTTCCTTTTCATTCACAACTTGAGTGTTTAACACCAAGAAGCTTAGCTTTTGGCCTATCTAGGCTTTCAACATGCCTTCCTCACTAAGCTTAATCATGTCTAGCTTTTGATTTAAAGCAAGAGATGTGTAGCTCTTCCCTTTCACTTGAATACTTTGAGGCTATTACAGGGTTATCAACTGGCCTAATTTCAATATTGTTTTGTCTCAGGGAACAGGCAGGACAGAGGGGAGAAAGACAGGCAAACAGCTGATCAGTGGAGCAGTCGGAACACACACAGCATTTGCTAAGTTTGCCATCTTATATGGCTGTTTATGGCACCCCGAAACAATTACAACAGTAATATCAAAGATTGCTAATTGCTACAAAGCTGCAGAGTTAAGAAAAAAGAGATCACTGACCACAGATCATCATAATAGACAGAGAATAATGAGAAAGTTTGAGATATTGTGAAAATTACCAAAGTGTGACAAAGAAACACAAAGTGAGCATATGTTGTTGGGAAAACAGTGCTGATAGACTCACTAGATGCAGGGTTGCCTTAAACCTTCAATGTGTGAAAAATGTAATATCTGTGAAGCATAATACACTGAAGCACAATAAAACAAGGTATGCCTCTGTGAGTGTGTTGTGGGGCAGGGGGTGGTTTATTAAGAGGAATTGGCTCACTAGATTGGAGAGGCTGAGAAGTCCCATGATTTTCCATCTACAAGCAGGAGTCCCAGGAAAGCCTGGGTGTAACTCAGTCCAAATCTGAGGGTCTAAGAAGCAGTGGACCTGACTATGCAAATCCTTGTCCAAGGGCAGAAGATGAGATGAGACTTGTCAACTCAGACAGTAAGGCAAGAAAAAAAGGTGAATTCCTCCTTCTTTCATTTTTTGTTCTATTCAGGCTCTCAACTGACTAGACGATGTCTACTCACACTGGGGAGGGCAATCTACTTTACTTAGTCCAACTACTCAAATGCTAATCTCAGCTAGAAAGACCCCACAGACACACTCAGAAAAAAATGTTTAATCTAGGTACCCACAGCCCACTCAAGTTTACACATAAAATTAAACAGAGTTAATTATTAATTCAATTTCTTTAACAGACATAGGCTTGTTTAAATTATTTCCTCTCATGTGAGTTCTGGCAAATTGTGTCTTTTAAGGAATTGGTCCATTTCACCTAACAAATGTGTCGACATAGAGTTGTTAATAGTATTCTCTTATCAGAATCAAATTTTGAATATAAGAAGTCTGCTCCCAGAGTGCATGCATGCTCTTACTCATCACACTCGCCATTCCTTGTAGGCTAGCTTATTTTCTCCAATCACTATTTATTTCACAAGCAACATATTTTAAACATAATTTTTTCAATGCAATTACTAGTCTCCACTTTACCTCTGTTTTGAGGTAAAGTAGAAAGTAATTCCTATTTTGAAAGAGCAGTCAACTGCCAGCAGAGGCTTAAGCAGAAAGTGCTCTGTCTATAGGCTAAACAAAGGAACGCCTGGTTTTGTTACCAACTTGACCAAGGATAAAATAACTAGCATTCCTTTCTTTGCCTCCAAAAAGGACATCAACCCACAAACTTCTACCTTTCTTACCTTCTCTGGGCTACTAAGCCTATTACATGTTTCCAATTTGACTAGGAAGACATTAGCAAAATAAGCTAGTTTTACAATAGCTGAAAAGCCCTCCTCATAAAATCAAAGGTGCTAAAATACAAAAGTGGAAGTTCAGAAGGAAAAGAAATATTAAACTTAACAGTGCCTATTCTAGAATCACTTGAAAATCACCTTTTTTCTTCTGTTTCTCAGAATTACAGATACTTCCCCAAATTTCTGTATAGTATTTCAGAGGAGGTAGGAAAAAATTCAAAGTCTACTAAAAGAAAGGTTAAGTAAATTTCACAATTAGCCTTGCCAATGATGAACATCATTACTGTCCTTCCATAAAAGAAGAAAGAAATACGTGAAAGTTGACAAATGTTGGCAATAAACTAGAATCCAGAAACCATTGTTATTACCATTATTCTGACCACCATTTATGCTTTAAAGTGAAAAGGACAGGGAACATAGAATATTTTGTAACTAAATTTGTTAATTTTTCCCTTTCCTTATCACGCTGTATTCAGAGATGCTTATATGAGGACTATGGCCAGGAATCTTATAGCCATGCATTTCATTAGTCTCCAACTTTCCCTAGTCAGTGGAAAAAAAACAAGAAAATGTTATAAGCAGCAAGATAAAAAAATTATTACAAAGCATGCATGCACATTCAGTATAATAAATTCAAGAAATATAAACATTTTATAGTTATGATTGTTTCCACCACTAGAATGAATTCAAAAATGAAGAATGCTAGATTTACTTGCAGTGAGTAAAAAGCTGATATAATGACAAGGTCAGTCTGTGACATTAAGGATTAATAAGTGTGTTTTATAATAGATGTTCTTCAACACTTAATTATCACCAAACACATTATTATAATAACACGATGAAACAGAAGTATAGACAAACAGAGAACAGCTATTTATTAAGGGTGAGTTTTGCCCTTAGAATTGAGTTAGGAACCGTGGAGAATACGAAAGCAGCAAATGAGATTCTCAACATTAATAGAAGTCATCATTTCATTTCATAAATTCCAAGTGCAGACTCCCCCTATTTCCTTCTGGCAGAAATTCTACTTTTGCTGAATTCTATGGACTGGAGAGGCACCTACAAAATACGTGTAGGGGAGAGAAGGCTGTTTTGCTGGTAAATAATGTTGGATACATCATATTAGATGTTAAAGCTGCACTTTAGAGGTGCCATACGGATTTGGTAAGGAGTACAAATAGAAAACCCATTCTGCAATGTGTGTAGAAGAGTTTTCTTTAGACAGAGAGTCTATTATGATGCTCCCTGCCACGAATTGTGGACCACAAGTCTCCGCTTAGACAAGATACAAGCCTCTAAGTAACATTCCTGATTGAGATTACATATGCTACTGGATGTCAGAAAAGGAAGAGATAGACATGGCTTGGCTCAAAAGGGAAAGACTGTGGACAGTTTGAGTAGTGAGATATGGAAAAACAGGGAGAAGAATAAACAGCAAGGAAGTGGTACCATACTCTAGACAAACGAAACTCCAATAAATGCCTTACAGAGTTATGTCAAGGGTTATTCATGATGGAATAATAGGTGAGTAATAACATACATGGATAACGTGACCCAACCAAACAAAGGACTACCAAAGCCATTCTTAGCCAGTTGTCACTGTTGAATTCACAGAAAGAGAGCAACTACTATGAATAGTTAGTGGTTTTCCGCAAAGAAAACAGACAATAGGTATCCTAAATTTTTAGGGGAGCATGGCCTGAGGAAGTCTTGATTAGAGAGAATAGCTGTGTATGTGTACCCATGTGTGTTTAATTACTGCTGCTGCTGTTGTTGGTAAGAAACAACAAATGTGGGCCGGGCGCAGTAGCTCACACCTGTAATCCAGCACTTTGGGAGGCCAAGGCGGGCAGATCACGAGGTCAGGAGATCGAGACCATCCTGGCTAAAATGGTGAAACCCCGCCTCTAAAAATAAAAAAAAATTAGCTGGGCGTGGTGGCGGGCGCCTGTAGCCCCAGCTACTCGGGAGGCTGAGGCAGGAGAATGGCGTGAAGCTGGGAGGCGGAGCTTGCAGTGAGCGGAGATCGCGCCACTGCACTACAGCCTGGGTGACACAGCGAGACTCCGTCTCAAAAAAAAAAAAAAAAGAAATAACAAATGTGTCGAACAAAAAGGTTATACACCCAGGTAATAATGTGGCTCAGTCCTTAAAGTTAAGGCTCTCAAAGGATCACTGAAATTAAAACTGTTTAATATCTAGAACTTTGAAAATGTTCCTATTATCTAGCCCAGTAATTCCATTTCAAAGAATATATACCAAGAAAAAAATCAAATATGCCAAGATTTACAAAGAAATGTGTGTAGCATGGCATTACTTAAGATGGTGAAATTTTAAAAATAACCTAGATGTCCAGCAACAGAGAAATTGTTCATCAAAAAACTATTATACGGCTATTTTTCTAACTGCTTTTGAAAAATACTTAGGGAAAAGGGAAACTGATTGTGTATTAGGTGATGAAAATGCAAGATATAAAATTCCATAAAATGTATTTTATCATATACGTATGTATAAAATGTATCCTATACAGGTATTAATAATGCAAATATAGCTAATAAAAAATTACTATTTTGCCGGTTGATTATTCTTAATAGTATTTATTCCTCCTAGCTACAACATATACAATTTATTTCAGACAATTTAAGGGGAAAAAAACAAAAAAATAAAATAAAAATCACTTATAATATCACTACTCAGAGATGAAGACTGTTGGTGTATATATACACCTAATCTTTTCCCATGCATTTATTGTATTACTTTTATAATCACATAGTAAGGCTACAAATCTATTTTTTGGCAGGGGTTAATTTTTGTGGTAACATATTACAAATTTACTTTTGAAACATTCAACTGTATAAAGAAAATGCAGCTTCTTTCATTTATATAGTTGATTTAATCATCCTTGGGAACCCCATCCTAGTGGGTAGTGGAAAAACAGACTTGCTAATCAGCAATATTTCAAGCTTTTCCAGCTTAGACAATCCTTTGGTTTACACATTCATTTATTTGAAATCTGACCTGCCAAAACAGCTGGTTTAAATGATCCCCTTTGGATGACTCATGGGCTTCAAGACAGTCTCTTAGAGCTCCACTCCCATCCAGGAAGATTAAAAGACACAATCTGTAAAGAAGCTCACAAGAGCCTTCTGGTGAGGGGGAGGGCTTTGGTCCAGCTGATGTCCCTAGGCATCATTGCTGTTGTCAGCTACAAAGTGACCCTCTTCCTGGGGCCAGTTCCTGCTGAGATGTGGCTGGTCCTAGGCTTCTTTGAAGAAACTTGCGGGCACCTGCACTGTGGTCGTAGACAGTTGACTCTGCTAACAAAGTCCCTGCATAGAGCCTGCTCTGCTCCAAAACTAGGCTTCTGCAAGTTCACAGGCTCTTTCATACATCCCCACCATACTTATTCCTTAAAGCTCAGGGCACTGTATAATACACAAAGGGGCAATTTTCCTATATAAAAATTATACCTCAAAAAAGCTATTTTTTACAGTGGTAAAGGAAAATTTGTTTAAAATGTTCACATTAACAAAAAGAAAAGTCTCAAAATAAATTAATTAACCACACAGTGAATAAGTTAGAAATTGCATAGAAAAATAAACTCTAAAAACATAGGAGAAAAGGAATTTTTTAATGATCCTACAGTTCTTGGCCTAAGGTGAGTGTATAAATGGCAGGATCCAGTGGCAAGATCCAGTGGATACTAAGGGTATGGGAGTGAGTTCAGACAATAATAGGGTGCACTGTTTGCAATCAACTTAAAAATAATAGTATAGCTCACTAAAAGTCAGTTTGCTTCTTGTTGTCACTATGAAATAGCAATTTTAAACAATGTAATTAATAAATTACTCCCTGTTAAAATGTGTTGGTCTATGTGCCCAATAATTGCCATGGTTACTGTTAAGTTTTAGCAATAGCTACGTAATATATGTGTAAATGTTGAACCAACACATTCTCATTTCTTATACTTTAATAAATGTGGTATGCCCCATGAAAGTTATTTCAGAAGGAACACTAATTATATGTGATTTACAGATAGGTAATTATATGGCCTGGACTCTGATACATGTTTGTTGGAAAGACTTGGAGCTCATTTCAGGTGTAGTTTCTGTCTCTGACCCATATATGTCTCCAACTACATATTCCTGTGCTTAAAGGTTAGATTCTAAATAATCAATGAAAGAAAGAAACACAATTTGAGATATTTCCATTTTGTTCTTCTACCTGCAAATTATTTTCTGAAATTTGTAGAGTTCACTCTATTGGAAGTTTCTTCACAAGTTCTCCCCTTTCTTTTGTCAATTATTATATTATTGTAATTACATGACTATAATTTATAAGTTTTCCTTTTTGTACTATAATACTTTGTTGCTGATATGATTATATGCATACAGATTTCAATAAAAAAATTTTCTGCCATTATTTGTTTCATTTCATTATTATTAGTGAAAATAATTTTGTCATATAGGAAAGGTGAGTCTTAAAAAATAATCTACTCTGGTTGTCAAGCACTCTGGAGAGGTCACTGGTGGGACCATTTAATAAAATGGAAAAATACAGGTGGAAGAAGTATTTGGGGGAAAATGACTTTGGGTTCAATTTTAGACACTGAGTTTGATGGTTCTGAGGGACAGACAGGTGAAAACGACCAGTATGTAGCCATAAATAAAGGTAAAGAGCAAGATCTGGAAATCACAAAAAAGTCGGCCATCAAGGCAGTGAAACTGAACAAGAGATCATCCAAGTAAAAGACAAAAAATAAAGGCTAGAATTCTGTGGGCATACCTACAAATGAGTGGTAGGCAAAGGAAGCAGAACTAGAGAATGAGAATAAGAAGGAATAACTGGAAGGGCAAGAAAAGCACCTAGACAAGGGAGAAATAAGGAGGAAAACAGTAATTACAGGTATAAAAAGCTATAAACATCAATTTGTATGTGTAAGTCAGTTTATCATGAAGCCTGCAAGCCAATAACACTAGATTTGGCTACCAGGAGGTCTCTGGTAGTCTTTACAAAAGCAATTGCCAAAGAGCAGTGCCACTTTGCTGACACAGATGATTGGACAATTAGAAGCCCACACTGCCCACTCTAGGTGAGCCATAGTGGAAATCTCTGGGCTCTGGTGAACTATAGAATGTGGTCCCTGAACCACAGGCATCAGGATTATCTGTCATACCCGCTTAAAATGCTGATTCAAGGACCCTACTTCAGATACTCAAATCAGAATCTCAGAGGTAAAACTCAACACTATGTATCCTAAGCACCCAGGTAATTCTTAGGCATGCTAAAATTTGAGGACCACTGCAGTATATGTTCTTCAAGGTCCATTCTACCTCTGATATTCTGGACTTCAATGGATTGTCTCTCTCTGACAATAGGATGTGAAATCATGATTACTAAAATCAATGCAGAAGTCAGCAATTACATGATAAACATGCAATAATCAGAAGCACTGAGGGCAGAAATAATACTTTTTATTTACATCAATTCATTTTGATCATGTGATATCTTTATTCTGATGAGGGTTGAGGTGCTATAGCCCTAGGGGATAATTATGTTCATAGATAGCTAAGAGACTCATGGAGATAGGATTCTGGGCCAGGAAAACTATGAAACAAGAATTAAAAAAGAAAAAGTTCTGTTTAGTAGTACTGAAGTGCTAAAAAGAAGTCAGAGAACCTAAAAGCACTAGATTCCTATTGTTAGATGTATTCAGAAATACTTAGTTATTGTCTTTTGGTTGGGAAAAGAATTATATTTCTATTTATCTATATATAGAAATAAAGAGTCAATGTTTCTAATCTATATAGAGAGACAGAGAATCAATGTTTTTTTCCTTAGGGAGGCTACAATTTTAATTAATATTCTCTAATTGACATTGACTTTAATTGACTGGTGACAGTCTTATGATGGGCCCCTCTGCCAAGCTTCCTGAGTGAGAATCACAACGAGCTCCATTATGAAGAAGAGAAGCCTTTTGTTCTTAGTGATCTCTGTCTAAGCAATGTTTTTTAGGTCTCAGAATATGACAGCCAGAAAGATCCTTGAGAGACCATTTAATTCAACCTTCTATACCTTACTTTCTAAAATCATTACATCTACCCATCCCCACCCCCAAAGTCTAAAGGATCTGCTCACTTCACCTGAGTTCTTTCACAGTTATGTCCTTTTGACTCACCTACAGCATCCTATACATTGGATTACCTTGGGGAAACTGGTATTCAGGTATACATTACATTATGGGTTTGTATATTTGTTTCAAAGAGTTTTTAATAAAAGAGCAACTAAGTGAAAAAGAAATCAAGAAAGTTGGGTGGGTTAAATCTGTATATGTGTACTAATCATAGCGTTCCATAGACAGTTAACCAACATGCAGACAATGAGTGCAAGTCAGAGGATGGGATGAAGAATGGGCAGAGCTAAAGAGGGAAAAAAAGGGGTCAGGACAGAAGACTTCCCACCAGTATGTCACAGGCTAAGAAGAGGGTCTGAAAACACTAGCTTAAGGTAAGTACACACTTTACAGCAAATACACAAATTATTTGCAGGAAAAAAGCATGGAGAAGGGAGGAGATACAGATAGGAAGAAGGGAAGACATTTTACACTTTTAACTACCTATTAGGATTTCTTAGACTCTGAGCGTATGGAGTATTTTCACAGGTAATGAAAATTGTTTTAAATTCAAGTAAGATCACTTCTAAAGTACTTAATTCAAATAAAAATCTTACCCAATTTATGAGGAGAATATTAAAAAAACTCATTCTAATGTTTGAATTTCCTATTAGGAAATGTCTACCAAATCTATCATATAGTCTACCAAATCTAACATAAAAGAATTTAAAGCAGTATTTATTTTGTCTTCAGCATTCCATAGCTCATAGTTAGCCTCAGAATACAATAGTTGATATGGTTCAGACTGGAAATATACTGTCCCTTGACTTTTTTCCTAACCACTAAACCCAATTTTCATAATTGTCTTTAAATTTTGTATAACTTCCACGTACTTTATGCACAAGTGACTCCTCTTTGCCGAGAGGTTATGTACCTTGCCCAGAGTTGACAAGAATTCAAGGGCTAGGCCACAAGCAGATCTTAGATTCAGATCCTGAATGTTTTTTCTGGACACAGAATCATTTAAAAATCTGATAAAACTCATAGGCTGATTATCTTCCCAGAAAAATAAACATATAAAAATATACTTTAGCATATAATTTTAGAAAATATAAATAACCCCCAGATCAGGAGCCTTCAATTTAGATAAAGCATGTCTTCTAAGGTACCATACTCAAATTCTAACATGAGCTACATACGGCACCCTAAAGAGACCCAGTGGGATGCCACTCCTTAGCTAAATGTGTGAGCTATAAGGAGTATAAAAAATAAAGGGAGGGAAAAGTAAGAAGCAATGAAAAGAAAATTAACTATGTGATGAGCATCTAAAATGTGTCAGGAATTAATAAATAAAAGAGCTCTTCTCTCTCCTGATTTGTTTTGTTGCTTTTTTTTGGCTCGAAAATGAATCAATGTTAGTAAACACAGTCATCTTATGCCAGATAGAGGTAAAAAAAAAAAAGTCATTAAAATTCTTGAGGAAAACTAGTTCCAAATTATCATAGATCATAAATGTGGTGCTGATCTTCTAAATCTAACAAATATATGTGAGCTGCACTGAAAATCCAAACATTTCCTAAATAATTTTTTAGGAGACAGAACAGATACATTAAAAATTTAGCAGATGTGAGCTCTCAGTGCGAAGCATTAGGGTAATTTTAATTTTCTTCTTTCTACCTGTCTACCACTTCTAAAATCCCTGCAAAATGTATGTTATGTTTGGAATTAGGGAAGCATTTATTAAAACATGTTTACTGCATAGTAATAAAATGTCATTTTAGAGGGATGAAAGAAAGATGACGAAAGGACAACTTATTTTATATTCAGCAGTTGGGTGGATGAGTTCTGGGTATGGAGCAGTTCATAGCGTTCAGAAAAGACCAGGCAAGATTAAGGAAAGGTAAGAAAAGGCCACAGAAATGAGAAAAAAAAAAACAGAAGAGTAAAAAGAATTGTTGTGAACAAAACTACAATAGTAGTTAATCCAAGAACCTAGTGTGATGCAAATGTAATCAAAACCCATGTCAGTGAATAAAAAAGGCAGGGGCTAGGATTGTCTTCCCCAGCATAACCCTGCACATAATATACGTATGATCAACAATTACTTAATTAAACTCATCTGAAGGTTAGGGACCATACAAATGTGTGGAGCACTTTCACATGTATTGTGATCTTCACAAATGCCCCTAATAAAATAGGCATTATCTCCATTTCATAGATGAAGAAACAGCTCAGAAAGCTTATATGTTTTCAGTATAAAGTCACATGGCTCTTTTGTGGCAGAACTGAGGTGTTAAAAGGCCCCTGGCTCCATGTTGCTTTTTTTCTACACGACAGCACCTTTACAAGCTTGGTTATTTGGTTTATCTTAATTATATTCTACATAAGCTAAATATCAGAAAAGTATGGTAAGTTTACCAAAAGACATCTAGCCTTTCTGATTTGCATTTCCCTTCGAGCATTTAACAATGTGCTTACTACAGACTAGAATTAAAAAGGTAACTTTCACCTCCATATTATGTATCTTCAGTGACAATTATAAGGATCGCCAGGTTCGGGTTAGCACAAAGGCAACATTACGACAGCATATCAAAGATTATATATTTACCCAAATAAAAAGCAGCCAGATCACTTTAATAAGGGTTAGGTTTGGATTTACGTTTAAGAGAGTCAAGTGAAAAACCATTTGTCACTTCTTATTCTTTATATCTAGTTTATCCTTTCACAAACTGAATGTCCACGTAGCTTAGCCAAGCCAATCTTCCTCTCTCTTTGTCTAGTTTCCATTCCCAGGACATCTTTGGAATGCACAGGGCTCTGCCTGCACAGGAGGTGGTAACACAGCACCACATTTAGAAGAGACAACTGTTCCTACCACTTTCTGTAATTCTACCCAAAAGATAAGCTAAGAAAGGGAAAGGAGAAGAAAGAAAAAAAGATACACCTTCCAAAGTAAACTCAGAATTTTGAAGGAGGGCTCTAATTTAAATATATTGTTATATTCTCAAGTGAGATAAGCTATAAAAGGTTCCTAAACATATGGGGATGCTAAATAAACTCAGCTTCAAGAATTAATGCCAAAAAAAACCAAAAGACTATCTACCCATACATATATATATGTACATATGTATGGAGAGAGATATATATATAATCTTTTAAATAAATGTCCAGATATAACAGTCATAATTTGAGTAAAAAAGTTTATAAAAGCCACTGACCACATGGCATGATCTGCGTTAAATTTTAAATCTCTAATCTTTCTTTACATTCTCTATTACGATTTAGATATAACTTTACAAGATTATGCTGTTTCAACTACATTAACTCTTCAAAACAAAATATTTCACTTTCCACAGCTATTTGCCAATTGAGAGCCCAAGACGCGTCTTTTAAAAATTAAACATAAGCATTTCTAATGGAGCTGCCTCCATCTCCTGCTATTCTCCCCTTATTGCTGTGCCATGTTGTCTAGCCTTCAAATTCCTACTGACTTGTCAGTAGGAATTTCTACTAGTCAGTAGGAATTCAACTTAGAAATTCAGTAGGTCTCAGCTTAGAAATCACTTTCTTAAAGAACCCTTCTCATAAAGGACCACCCTTTCCTGTCCATTTTTCGCATAGTACCCTGTGCCTTTTCTTCTCTGCACTTATTGAAACATGTCAAGTAAATAAGCAAATGAGAAAGCAAGTGAATACATATAGTTGTATTGTTTTCCTCTTTGTAGGAGCTTTTCTATCTTATTTTTTTACTATGCATTGGCAAGCAGTGCCACTGAATGAGGTGGGGATTCCTCCCAAAGTCAGTGCATGTTCTTCTTTATTCTCACAATAAGGACACATTTGCCAATAACTTTAATGTGACACAGGGTAGTTTCCAGTTCACTCCAGTAGGAAAGAGAGAGAGAGAGAGAATTTTTGAGATCTTAACCAAAAAGCACCTCAGATAAGGGTGACTTACAAGTAGGGTACTGTAAAGCTCAAATTATTTGTAAGGTGCCATCTGAGATTTTTAAAAACATCAGATGCATTATATATTTTTATATGTGAAAAATAATACATGTTTTATGGGTCATCCCTAAAGAGAGGCATATGGCCTGCTTCTGCAAAATGGGTTTTATGTTCTTTTCTGGATCTGGGGGAAACCAACGCACGACTAGGGGAAGGTGCTGAACGAGAACAGAGTGACATTCCTGTGTGCCTGAAGCCTCTCAGGTTTCTGTTCCTTCTTTCCTAGGTCTCTTGCCTGCTTTGGGTCCCCAGGGAATTATAGACAATAGCCAGAGAAATTACATGAGAAAAGAAGATCTAGCTTCTCTAAAACCCAATGGGGAAGTACTCTTCTGTGAAAAGGTCCTTAATATCGAATTAAAAAATAAAGTACAGGACAGAGAAAATAAAGTCCAGAACAGGGAAGGAAACTTATCCAAGCATATAAATGAAATACTGAGCTAGAATTTAGGGCAAAACATTCTTCTGAAGCTATGTCAAAAAGGGGATCCTAATTAACAACAGATAACTTAGCAATTAAAAAATATTACACAAGACAGAGCAATAACTCTCTCTTTATCTCTTCGATAACTTTGAGCAAGTGTTAACTAAAGATGTTCAATCTGTGATGCCCATATTCCAGAGGCCCCTTTAGAAAAGTATACCATTGCATTAAAAACACTCAGAGTTCTTATTTAGCTACCTATTTTTAAGTGACATTTGAAAAATTAACACCATCAAGGTTTCTAAAAATAGGCAAGTCAGCTTTGTTGTACTTGTCAGAGACGGGAACAGTGCATCCACCCACTGCTTGCTTCTTTAACTTAACTGCTAGTGTGGTAGAGACATAGAAATACATAAAGAATAAAACAGATAAAGATAAAATTCATCTCATACACATAATGTAAATAGCAATGGCTTCCACCCCATTAATTAATGAGTAATTTTTCAGTATCTGCTCTATGCCCACCATATGCTAGCATTCAAGAGAACACAAGAGAAAAACAGGGTATGGCCCATGTTCCTAAGAAGTTTATCATCGAGTTGGAGAAAAAAAACACTAACAGCCATAGAACAAAAACCAAGAAACAAAAAGCACTATGCAAGTGCCAAGTGGTAAATATTAAAAAAAAATAATAATAATCCAACACTGTAGTGACTATAAAAATAAAGAAAGGTCATAAAATGACAGCTCTGTCAGGGCTGAACCAAGAAAACTGGTAAAGAGGTAGACTGGCAAAAAAAGAGGAAGGAGACAGCTGATGTCTGAATGTAAGTGGGAAAAGTATACACAAAGAAAGAGCAGTTAGGCGGGAAGCTGAGAAGTCTCCCAGTAGACACTAGGCTATGAGGGGACTGGGCTGCGTAAAGGACAGGTTCAGGTTGGAAAACAGCGGGAACAATGAAGCGGACACAGAGTATGAAGAATCAACATGTCCAGGCCATGTATTACCAACAGCCATGGTAGCTTCCCCCGTGAAAAAAGCAAGATTAGAGAGGCTTCACTGCAAATGAACTAGAGCAGCAGGTACTAGGGCAAAGCAAAAACTCAGGTGTGCAAGCAATTGGGAGTTTATTTCTGTACAACTGAACTTAATCTCTGTTTTAAAACTCCTATGCTGCTGAATGGTGAAAATTAAATTTCAGTCAAGTCAGGGTAATCTCAATTTCTGGTTTCCCCTTCCTCATGGGCGCATCTAAATTCCAAAGGATTATAAAATGCTAGATTTGTGTGGTAGAGGAACGGAAGGATGGGTGGAGGTCATCAGCATTTATCCACAAACATCTGTAGCTCTCCTACAGGCAGGTCTACCCAGATCCTTAGCTCCTTCCCTCATCCTCCTCATCTCTGCCACAAGCCTTCTGTCAAGTCTGGCTTTCTGTTGGCTACATCCATGTCCCTCTGCGCATACAGGTATCTCCTCATCACCCCCTAAGTTATCCTTGCCATGGGAAATTTGCAAAGTTGCCACAGGTCCCTCTAACTAGACAGCCATCTCTACTATTCTCCAGCCACACTGGGCACAGGGGATCTGCATGCCACCACCCCAGCTCTACTTTTCTGAGGACAGAAATAACTGATTCTAATTCTTCCAGAACAGCTCCCTTCATGCCTAGAATTTGACATAAAATTCAAAAGTCAAGAATTCAACTCTTCTGCAGTAAGAGATATGCTACGTTTGTCTTTTCCTGAAAAAAATAATTCCTATTTCCAAACAAAAGGGAAGGTATAATAGGAAATAATAATAGGGAGAGACACTGATTAAAACTCCAATTGTTACCACATAAAAATAAACCAGACATAAAGAGGACCTGAACTAGGGGATCTTTGGAAATGAAATAAATATGTATATTTAGAGGTGCTAAATGGAAAAACTGGCATGAATGTTCAATGGGAGTGAAGGATACTACATAAGCAAGAAAATAAAATAAATTCATGGTTTCCTGCCTTTAAGATTATCAGAATCCTGGCATTATCAAAACAGAAGCCAGTTTGAAGTGGAAAGGTTTTGAATTTGGTTTTGAATTATATTCACATACTTTTGTCATTTAAGGTGATGATTTAAAATAGCAGCAAAAAGGATATATTCTAGGAGTTGGTACTATTGTATTCTCAGTAATACACTCATTACTGTGGTTTTCAAATACTACTAGCTTTCAAACAGCTACACAGTTTTACAAAAAAAAAAAAAAAACCACAACTAATTTTAAAAGTTTTTAAAATCTTAAAGCATTAAAATCTGCTTTTCCATTCCCACTTCTCTATTAAATAGTCTTTTCATTTGTAGAAATAGGTACTTAAGTTAATTATTTGAAAAAAAAAATGTTTAGCTAAAAAGACCAAAAATAGTGTGTGGTGTCACAGCAGCATTGGCAGCTGATGCAGAACAGGCAACAATAAAGCTGGCAATAATGAGGTGCCAGCCCCAGCTTGACATGCCCTGCCAAAGCCCAGGGGTGAATCCTGCTGAGCTCTGGAGCTCACAGATGTGCCTTATGCTCCCTCATGAACTAACACTCTGCCCAGATGATAACCTGAAGAAATATAAGAGGCAATTATACTATTAAAGAACAAAAAGTACTAGAATGACTGAAGCATACAACGGGCATTTATGGCACGCTGTATTTACAGGGGCAGAAAGCAGAGAGACATTTTTACATACTACATTATTAGGTCAGCTTCTGTCAGATTAGCAAACTTCAGAGAGTGACAATCTAGTAACAGAAAATAAATACCAAAGGGGAAAACATTTTAGGTTTATGTGTAAACATGAAAAACAGAACACCAAAATTCAGGATTATGCCAAAATAAGAAAACATACCTTAAAATTAAAATCAATGTGGTTTGATTTTAATTTTAAGGTATGTTTCCTTATTTCAATAACATTAATTATCCTGAAAAGAAGTGACTGGAAGGAAAAGGGAAAATAAACGATATGAAAGTATAGTTGGGCCGGGCGCAGTGGCTCACACCTGTAATCCCAGAACTTCGGGAGGCCGAGGTGGGTGCATCACGAGGTCAGGGGTTCAAGACCAGCCTGACCAAGATGGTGAAACCCCGTCTCTACTAAAAATACAAAAAATTAGCCAGGCGTGGTGGCAGGCACCTGTAATCCCTGCTACTCAGGAGGCTGAGGCAGAGAATTGCTTGACCCTGGGAGGCAGAGGTTGAAGTGAGCTGAGATCACGCCACTGCACTCCAGCCTGGAAGACAGAGGGAGACTCCGTCTCAAAAAAAAAAAAAAAAAGAAGAAACTACAGTTGCTGGATAGAAGAAACTTCTGCTCCAGTGCCTTCTCAAATGTTGACTGATACCTGAAAATTTTAGTTTATAATTAAGAATAAAGAATGGCATGTTTAAGATAACATATTCCCAACATCATATTTAAATCTATTAAATACAAAGATATTCAACCAAACCACCTAAAATTCAAATTATTATTGCTTTACATTGAAGACAAATATTAGAACAAAATGCATTTCTATCTTTAAGGAGAAATTCCCAAGTTCCTAAGAACAGAAAGGAAGAACTCAAGTGTATCCTTTCTTTAGGGGGTTGCTCTCACTACATCTTGACCTGAACTTGAGATTTGGGGGTTTATTCCTGTCCTTCTCTCCAATTCCCAAATGGCGAGAACTAAATGGCTAATTATTCCTGTAGGATCCAGACAGATACAAGGATTTGAATGCCTGTTTCCTTTAAGTACTGTAACCTAAAAAGCAAATGGAAAATACTAACCTATAATTAATCTCATATAATTATGTATTTTCAACTCATGCTCTTACCACTTTTTCTATTTTGCAATGTACTTATGACTTCCTAACACACTTACTAGGAGCATTATACTTATTATGCTTCATGTCTATTGTCTTCTCTCCTGGCTAAACTGCAGGTTCCGTAGGGGCAAAGATCTCCTATTTTTTCAGTATATCAGAGAATACTGCTCAATAGTTGCTGAATGGATGATTTTGCATAGTCTATGCAAATTCTGACATCCTATTAATTTGCCATTTAGAAACAATAAAATCCATGTGCCTGACACACAACACATGGGTACAGGGCTGGACAGATAGATCCTCGTTATTCGGGGCAGACACCATTACTAAATTTGTAGAAGCTATAGCTTAAAGCTTGGGAGGTATAATTCAAGGATAAGTGAAACATTTTCAGATATGTAGCCCAGGGTTTCACTTGCATAAACAAAAAGCAATTAAAGAGTTAAGTAGCCCCTGAAGAACTAAAATATAGACATTTTCAATAAAGAATTAACATCTCCCAGTAACACTGGGATAAAGCATAGGCCACACCATAAATGAATAGAGTTGGAGTCAGTGACCTTCAGGTAATGCCAGAACCTGGGTAAATTCTAGACAAAGATGCATGTACTGTGAAGGACATCAAAACCCTGCTCTACGTGGCTGTTTCCACCGGCAACATGGATATCAATTTCCTCTATTATTAATATCTCCTTTTATGTCTGTTCTAACTGCTTACTCGCAGTCTCTCATTCCCACTGTTTTGTTCTCTCTGCTGCTCTCTCACCCAGGATCTCTCATCCAGGGATATGCCCCGCCCAGCAGGGAGCAGAGCTTGTCATATGTATACAGAAGCCAGGCCTCTCTTGCCCATTAGCACATGCCAAGCTCAGCAGTGGCTTGGCACACATAAATGAGTCCTGATCAGAACAGAATGGAGCATGGACATCCCCTAGAATTAACTGTTCTATGTATAAGGCACTGGGCATGCACCCAGAAGCTGAATCCATTCAATGCATCTAGGATAAGTCCCCTCAAAACTAGGGAAAATCATTTTTTCTGTCAAGTGCCTAGGCTGCGTAGAATTTGGTGACACCAGGGCTTTGAAAGGAAATTAAACAAAGGAGTGAAATAAAAACCCAACTCATTTCTCTAACCTGACTTGTCTGAGTTCCCAAAGGCCTGGTGCCACAGCAACTTGAAATACAAAGTGGGGTAAGCCATCCTGATCTCTCCTAAAGGCCTATGCTTCAAGCACTAGCATCAACTTCTCAGCATTGCTACACTATAAAAAACTATGCTAAGTAATGTAAGATCTCTTAAATAAAAATATAACAGAAAATAAGTGGTAGAACACAATTAAGATGGTGAGGTACTGAATTGGACCTTAAAGGATTTAAGACTTAGAGAACCAAGGAGGTTTCCAAACAAGAGCAATCATATGTGCAAAGAAGCAATGGCAGAGATGAACACGACACATTTTAAAGACAGGCAGGACACAGGCTAGTTGAAAATAGGGCTCATCAGAAAACCAAACACCGCGTGTTCTCACTTATAAGTGGGAGCTGAACAATGAGAACACACGCACACAGGGAGGGGAACAACACACACTGGGGCTTGTCAGAGGGGCCGGGGGAAGGAGAGCGTCAGGATAAATAGCTATTGCACGTGGGGCTTAATGCCTAGGTGATGGGTTGATAGGTGCAGCAAACCACCATGGCATACGTTTACCTATGTAACAAACCTGCACATCCTGCACGTGTATCCCAGAACTTTAAATTAAATTTAATTAAAAAAAAAAAGAAAAGAAAATAGGGTTCATACAGAAGAGCTACAGGAGATAAAGTGGGTTGGTCTCTCTTCAGGTGACCTTGAACGTCAAGATAGAAGCATGGTATTGTAGGCAATGTGAGCCTTTACTAAAAGTATTTGAATAAAAAAGAGACGGGGATAGAGCAGTATTTCATAAAAATGTATTTGGTGGACACAAGTAAGTTGAATTGAAGTAGATAATAATCTTTACCTGAG
This sequence comes from Homo sapiens, assembly GCF_000001405.40. Lineage (NCBI taxonomy): Eukaryota > Metazoa > Chordata > Mammalia > Primates > Hominidae > Homo > Homo sapiens. The sequence goes on from NC_000003.12 coordinate 118,974,356, forward strand.
AAAGATCCGTTGGAAGAAAAGGCAACGGTTCAGTATTAGCAATGAGAATCATCACTAATGTGTTGGCAATTGCAATTAAGAAAAGGGCACAGAGAGGGTGATTAGGAAGAACAGTCAGATGTTACGAGAAGCCTCTTCCAGGATTTGGAATGGCATGCTAATCTTACGTGAGAGTCGAGTGGCACTGCAATCTATCCTAAGAATCCTACAGTGGTTTAGCACATTTGTGGTTGCAGTACCTAATCTTCTGGCCCTTCTTCAGTACAAACCACATTCCATGACTGGCTTCCCAAAAGACAGTTTTGTATATCCCTAATTTTGTCTTCTCCTTTAAATTCTCCTTCCTCCTTTTCTCCAAACTTCTTAGCGTTGAAAATCTGGTGTGAGGTTTCCACCATATCACTATACCACAGAGCCCATCTTCTTTCATTCTACAATCTTTCTCTTATCATTTTCTTTATCACTATTACTTTCTTCTTTATCATGAGTTAATCTCATTAAAAATATATTTGTCAAAACACCTAGTTACCATGGTGACAAGAAAGCAACATAACAGATAACAAAAAAAAAAAATTGCCCTTCTCCATTTCCTAGCTTAAACATATCTCAGTTTCTATCAATTTACCTAACAGATTAGGCCATTAATCTCCAGTCTCTCAAAACAAGCCTAGAAATAGCTCAACCCTCCTTCCATGACCAATATACAGTGCAAGCCTCATCCTAATTGCTCTAATTACATGAAGAACATAATGAGATACAGCAGCAGATGGCTACAGATTATATTCTGGAGAAGAAATTCTCCTCTATCTCCTCCTATTGAAGAGATTTTGCCTTGAACAAAAAAATTAAAATAAAATCATTTTGTTCACAAAGCCAAATATATGTTTTTTAAAATGTTATCCCACCACTTTTCTATTTCCTTCAATAATATCTTTCCTTAAAAAAATTTACTCATTTCATATAGATTTTACCATATGTGACAAATAAATTTGTAGCCCTGCTGGATTTAAAAAAAAAAAAAAAAGATGTGCTCATAGAAAGTTGTTAGGAGTTTATATATTGAATCATATACTTCCACAAACCTGAACTATAATCTCAAAGATATGCTCTATCAAATAACGAATTTGTGAGGGGGTCTTTAATTTGAGCCTAAAAGTCTCTATCCAAAACACTGTTAGCCCCAGCTTTTCACAAAAGATGAAGCATCAACTCTTATGTTCACTGCAGCACTATTCACAATAGCAAAGACATGGAATCAACCTAGGTGGCCATCAACAGTGGACTGGATAAAGAAAATGTGGTACACATACACCATGGAATACTATGCAGCCACAAAAAAGAATGATATCATGTCCTTTGCAGCAACATGGACGCAGCTGGAGGCCATCATCCTAAGTGAATTAATGCAAGAACATAAAACCACATATTGCATGTTCTTATTTATAAGTGGGAGCTAAACATTGGGTACATATGGACAAAAAGATGAGAACAACAGACACTGGGGACTACTGGGGGGCAGGGGGAGGAAGTCAAGGGCTGAAAAACTACCTATTGAGTACTATGCTCACTACCTGGGTGACAGGATCATTTGTACCCCAAACCTCAGTGTCACAGGATATATCCATTTAACAAAGTTGCACAGGTACCCTCTGAATCTAAAAGTTGAAATTAATAAAAATTTTAAAAAAAACAGAACATGAAACCGATACATGAAATAGAAGAGACAGCCTTAACTAAATTCAAGTTATGTGTTCCCAGCCCAGCCCTAAAGGCAGTTTAAGCTGTATGCATTTCATGGTTTGGTTATATGCCCCAGTAAATTCCTCTTTCTAACCTTAAAAAAGAAAAAAAAGATGGTGTGTCAAACTTCCAGCCACCATTTTAATAATCATCACTTCAAAGTCAATGTCCAAAAATGAAGTCAATGTCTTCTCCTTAAAAATTAGTTTGTTTTCCCAACTTGTTCTTTTTTGGCTAATGGTAACAGGCTCAAACCTTGAAGCTATCTTTTCTAGTTCTCATGCTATTGTCTGTACTTTCAAATAGCACCTTGTACATAGGAAATCCCGAAGGCATGACCCCAAAACCACCATCATCATTGAAGTGCCCAAAGCTCTCTTCACCTACTTCCCAGTATCTCAAAGTAGGAATCTACCACTGCTGCCATGATCTGGGGTTCCAAGGAAGTTTCCATGCTGCTACAGCGAGTACAGGAAAGGAGAACAAAACTCCTGCTACCAGGGAGACTAGAGATAGAATCAAACTTTTATTCTAGTCTGAAGATAGTGAACATTCTGAAAACTGGAAATAGGCAACCCTTCTTCCCCGAAGTTATAAGCCACTTGCTTCATTCCTCATATAATTTCCATGTGGACCATATTAATGTATCAAATGTATCAAAGTTCCTACTACCATGGCAATCTACAGTGGACCAGGAGAGATATGAAAGATAACAGGAGAGTCCTTCCTTCATTTGCCAACCCCCATAATGTAACATTCTAACCTCAATATCAGAAATTACTTTTCATAATCATATTTTCAAAAATAGTCATAAATTCTCTAAGAAGTGAACTTCCTGTCACCCACTTCTGTAGGAAAAAAAGAGATACTGAATTTTACCAGCTGCTCTTAGGGGTCTAAGCCAGGGCATGTTCATTTATTAATGGAAATTGATATGTGAAAAAATATTTGATCCACAGCATTAGGACAGTGATCATTTATCCCATATTTCACTTTATATTATCATAATGTCTGCTTTGAGAAAATGGCAGCAAGAAAACACATATTCCCCAGATTTTCTTTTAATGTTGCCCTGGCTTGGATCTCTAAGTAAGCCACCTAAATACTTGATTTGGACACTCCTGGGAGGGTGAGCTCAGAGGTCCCAGCACCTTGGTTTGCATAAGTTTATTTTTTGAGGTCTATTTCTGTTGCCCTCAGACAGGCAGCAACAGCTTGCAGGGCCCTTGTGGCTAAGGGGCAGGACCACATTCCTCAGTGCCCCACACTATATCTGGAACCTCTGAGGCATGTTCTAGTTTGGTCTTGGGTATTAATTCTTTAAAAAGACAATGTCCCAGCTTCAAGATGGCTGATTAGAGGCATCTCCTAATGTCTACTCACCTCCTCCACTAAGAAGAAACAAAATAGTGAGGAGAAAAATCACACTTCAAATAGATCATCCAAGAGAGAACACTGAAATTCAGCAAAGTGACAGGAAACATCTAAAGCAAGAAAGTAGAGGGAAATGAGGTAGCCTGCTCAGCAGGGATCATCTTGGAACTCCCCAGTGTGGAGAACGGGTGAGAGACCCCAGTGGTCCACATTCCCATCATGGACTACAACAATCCTAGCCAGGGGAGAGCCCTTTGACCCTCAGAGGCCTTGAAAGTAACATAAGGTGTGCCCTAGAAACCACACGAAGGCACTGTTCCAGACCGGGAGCTCACATCGAGTCCCACAAACCCGAGTCCTAAGCAGCTGCAGCACAGTGCCATTTTAAGAGCCTAGCCCACAATGGACTACGTCCTGCCCTGCAACCAGGCCCAGGTCAAGAGTCTAGAGCAACAATCCCACCCCCAGCCCAACAGAGGGGCGGCCATGCATTCTCATGCATCCTGAGGACAAATTCCACTGCCCACAACCACTGCAGCTACAGACTGCTGTGGGCTGAGGTGCAAGAAAAGCCCACACCCTCCAGCTGCCTGCCTATGGCTGCCCCCAGGGAAAGCAACCAAGCTTTCTCTGATAGCAGGTCCACAACACAGATGTTGCTGCTTCCACCTGAGCACACCATCCAGGAGCTTGGAGACTGCCTGATCCAGTCCACTGCCCGTGGCACCTGAGCACTCCTCCCAGTGTCTAGGATCAGGTCCACTCAACCTGCTATTACCACCAGAGCCGGCACCCACCCCTCACATGCTACCTGCAGGTCTTCAGCCCACCCAACTGGTCACAGCCACTGCCAACACTAGCACAGACCACTTGGGTTTCAGAGGATTGTCTCACTGCTGCCACTGCCATTGCTCATGCCACATCCACTGCCAGGGGCTCAAGAACTCTTCCACCCACACAGCCCACCACCGCCATCCATGCCTGGTACCTCAACAATCCACCTGGAGGCAAAGAATAAGCCTGCCTGGACCCGCTAACACTGGTACCAATGTATGCCACCTTGGGCCCAAGGGCAGGCACAGTCAGCTCCCTGCTGCCACCACTGAAGCCTGAAGACTGGCATCCCGGATCTCAGCACAACTTCACCACAGCCTTCTCTGACAACTGTACCCTAAGCCGCCAAGAAAATCAGACACCACTGATGCTGTTTATAGTCAAAGAAATCATACAGACACTGCACTATTGCATGTACCCAGAATCAAGCCAAAGTGCCCTACCCAACCGACACCATATATTCATCTTCAGGAAAAAGTCCTCCCCTATGAAAGCAAAATCACAAAATTGGAAGAAGCAACTGTTACACCAGATGCACAGATACCAATGTAAGGACACAGAAAACATAAAAATACAAGGAAATATGAAACCTGCAAGGGAACACGTTATCCAGCAATAAATCCCAATCAAAAAGAAATTCATGAAATCTCAGAAAAAGAGTTCAAAATGTTGAAAATGTTAAAAAAGAAAACCTCCCTGAGCTATAAGATAACTCTGAAAAACAATACAAAGAAATCAGAAAAATAATTCAGATGTGACTGGGAAATTAACCAAAGAGATAGATATAATAAAAAAGATATAAATAGAAACTCTCAAGAATTCATGGAATGAAATACAAAATACATTCAAAGTTTTAATGATAGACTAAACAAAAGAAAGAATATTAGAACGTGAAGACAGGTCTTTTAAAATAACACAATATAAATCAATAAACAAATAAGAGCAAAGCCCTCATGACATATGGGGACACAATAAGGCAACCAAATATTCAAATTATTGGTGACCTAAAAGAGAATGAGTTAGAAAAACTATTTAATAAAATAACAGATGAAAACTTGCCAAGTCTAGAAAGAGATTAAGACATCCAGATACAGAAGTTCAGAGATCTCCAAATAGGTACAATGTAAAAACAATATACCTCGTTAATACATGGTGCTGGAAAACTAGATAATCATGCAAAAGAATGAAACTAGAACACTATCTCTCACCATATACAAAAATCAACTCAAGATGGATTAAAGATTTAAAAGTAAAACCCAAAACTGTAAAACTACAAGAAGAAAATTTACGGAAAACTCTTCAGGACATTGGTGTAGGCAAAGATTTTATGGCTGAGACCTAAAAAGCACAGGCAACAAAAACAAAAATAGACAAATGGGACTATATTAAATTTAACAGCTTCTGCATAACAAAAGAAACAATCAAAGGAGTGAAGAGGCAATTTCTTGATTGGAATAAAATATTTACAAACTATTCATCCAACAAGGGACTAATATCCAGAATATGCAATCAACAGTAAAATATTAATAGCATGTAAAAAGAGTCAAAAGACGTACATAGAAATTTTCAAAAGACGACATACAAATGGCCAACAGGTATACAGAAGAAAATGCTCATAACTAATCATCAGGGAAATACAAATCAAAACCACAATGAAGTATCATCTTACTCCAGTTGGAATGTCTATTAATTAAAAAAAGCAAGAAATAGCAGATGTTAGTGAGGATGTGGAGAAAAGGGAACTCTCACACTGTTGGTTGTAATGTAAATTAGTGCAGCCACTATGGAAAACAATATGGACATTCAAAAAACAACAACAACAACAACCACAAACAGAACTACCATACAATCCAGCAATCCCACTACCAGGTATTTATCCAAAGGAAAAGAAATCAGTCTTTCAAAGGGTCACCTGTACCCTCACATTCACTGCAGCACTATTCATAGTAGCAAAGATATGGAATCAACCTAAGCGTACATCAACAGATGATGAATAAAGGAAATATTTTATATTTATACAATGGAAATCTATTGACCATAAAAACAAAGGAAATCATGTCATTTGTCACAACACAGATGGAACTGTAAGTCATTATGTTAAGGGAAATAAGCCAGGCACAAAAAGTATTATGTGTTCTCACTCATACATGGGAGCTAATAAAGTTGATCATATGGAGGTAAAGAGTGGAACAATAGATACCAGAGACTGGGACGGATGTAAGGGTAGAGGGTGGAAGTGAGATAAAGAGAGGTTTGTTACAGGGTACAAACATACCATTAGATACAAGGAATATGTTCGAATGTTTGATAGCAGAGTAGTGTGACTGCAATTAACAACAATGGTTGTATTTTTCAACACAAATAGTAGAGAGGAAATGAAACGTGCCCAACACACAGAAATGATAAATACTTGGATGACGGATACCCTAAATATCCTGACTTAATCATTACACATCTATGCATGTAACCGAATTTCATGTATGCTCCATTAATATGTACAAATATAATGTATCCAAAAAATTTTTAAATATTTGATTTGTATTTTTTCTCACACTTTATTCTGGTATTTCTTTTTTATCTTCACAATGAGTCAACCTAAGAAGTACATTTTAAGAAGTCACATTTTCTTGTTAAGTGGTTAAAGATACTTGAAAACTCATTTCCCAGGAATCAAACCCATTTACCACTTTATGTGGTATGTGAGGGAAGCAGAGTAACATCTGGGACAGTGGTTTACAACACTTTGCCACTCACCAAGTTTCACCTCAAGGATCACTTGTGTTTATGAGTGAGCTGAGTTCTAACTACATCTTCCACTGTAGCAAATTCTTATAATTATTTTATGTTGCTTTGGCATCCATTTTATTTTATTTTATTTTTATTTTGAAACAGGTTCTCACTCGTCACCCAGGCTGGAGTGCAGTGGCGTGATCTCAGTTCACTGCAACCTCCACCTCCTGGGTTTAAGCAATTCTCCTGCTTCAGCCTCCCAAGTAGCTGGGACTACAGGCACATGCCACCATGCCTGGCTAATTTTTGTATTTTTTGTAGTAGAGATGGGGTTTCACCATGTTGGCTCAAACTCCTGACCTCAAGTGATCTGCCCACCTTAGCCTCCCAAAGTTCTGGGATTATAGGCATCAGCCACTGTGCTCAGCTTTTGGCATTCATTTTAAACATAAGTTGAATTTCTTTCATATCAGAAGGAAGGGTAAGTCATCCCTGACACAGTTTCCAGTTCTTCACCTCTTCCCTGTTCCTCAATGTGATTGTTCCAGACATCTCCCTTATATAACTGCCTCCTGGTGACCACTTCCCTGTGGGACAGCTAAACAGAGCCTATTAGACTTGCTCCACTGACCTCCACACCCCATACATACTGTGCAGATATGCCACAGTGACCTCCTCTCAGACACAGCATGCCTACATAGAACTTGTGCCTGCTTCCTCTAAACCCACCAATTAGAACTCCCTGTGGGAAACTTACTTGGGTAACACGACGGACCCCAGTAAAGACTTCGACCCACATGTCTATCTCTTTCTGTCTTCTTCCCAACCGCCAGTTGAGAGTACATGTCCTGGATGACTCCCCTTCCTCCTGCTGGCCCTGAGGTGTGCTGCCCTCTTCTTTCTGGGTCTGTAAATAACATACACTGCTTGTTATTTCATGCCTCCTCTGTGTCTCACCCGACCAACACAACCAAACCTAACTCTCTGCCCAGTCATGGCTCTCCTAGAGAGTGGCTATCTCATACACTGGACACAAGTCAGGCACGAACCACAAAGGTACCTGCCAGTATATTCAAGTTCCCTGTAAGAGGGAAACCTGGTCATGAGTTAGACACTTAGGTTAGACTGTCCACCGGGATAAAGAAGTATCACGTAAAGCCACTTTGTAAGCATCTAAGGCCATCTCCCTTGGATCTCCACCAGGGCAGAGCTAGAGTTTCTAGCAACTCTCCAGAGAGAGACCACAATACCAAATTAGAGGAAAATACAACATCCACTGTGCTTCATTCTTAGCCTGCATTTAAAGCCCCCTCCTTTCCTCAAAAACTTAATTGGAACTCTTACGTTTTCTCCTCCATACCCTTTGATAAAATCTTCTCCCAAAAAAAGGAGCTGATAAACTCATTCACTAATAAAATTATTAATGACCACTCCAGAATATAACTGTTTCCCATTTAGAAAGATGTTAAGAAGCTTTAAAGAAAGAAAATTCTATTATAGGATATGGGACAATAAAAAGAAGGACAAAGGGTTTTATCACCAAAACATGCATTTACATAAAACCCATTTCAAATAGAAAAATTAATGTTCCTTTTTTAACCTTGTTTCTGTTTCTTCAATAAAATCCTCCCTCCTCCTTAATATCATTAAGGAGGATATCTTAATGAATACCTTAATTCACTGAAAAGGCCTTCTCCTAAAAATGACCCCTCGACAGTTTGTTTCATTTAGTATTCATCTACCAATATTAGTCATATTAATCTACATAGGCTAGATTATGCCTTGACAGCACAATGACAAACTCGCAGCAGTTTTACACAAAGTTTATTTCTTGCCCATACAATGTCCTATATGCATTCAGAAGCTAATTCCAAATGGTGATTTAGAAATTCAGTCTAGTATCACCTTGTGAATCCATCATCTCAACATGCAGCCTCCACAATCCACATGGCAAAGGGCTTTGAGTCATAAATGACACATATCACCTCTACTTTTAGTCTACCAGTTAGAATAAGCACATAGCCCCAACATAATTGCAAGGAAGGCAGAAAAAAACAGCTTAAGTCTGGCTCTAAAGATGAAAACAAAACAGGACTAGGTGAACATGTAAGCACTGCCTCTGTCACAATAAGATATTAACTGTATGTATAATTAACTAACATGTGCCTGTAGGTCTTTATCTGTATTAACATCTTTGATATTCACAACTAACCCAAGAGATAGGTATTATTAATATCATCTCCAGTTTACAAATAAGGAAACTGAGGTTCAAATAAGTTAAGTAACTTACCTAAGTGTGTAAGTGGGCTAGCTGAGATTCAAATCTAAGAAGTGTGCTCCAGAATACATTATGGCATACGGCTTCTCAAATATACAAGACACAGTTAAGGACACTGGCCCTCAAATATGTGTAGAGCTGTCATATGAAAGAAGGGTTTAGATGTAGTCTATAAGTCTTAAGAACACAAAATAAAGACGTAATACTGAGATTAAAATGTAAGCAGAGTATTTCTGAGTACCTCCTATCACCCAGGCACCATTCTAGATATTGTACATATATCCTATCCATGCATCAAAACACTTCAAATGAGGTGGGTATTATTATTCCAGTTACACAAATGAGAAAACAGACTCAGAGAGACTAAGTAACTAGCCTAGGGTATTACACAGAGCCAGTATTTAATCCCAAATCAATCTGGCTTCAGAGCCTAAGCAATTTTCCACTATATCTCACTGTTAGTTATTCAATATAGACATAGTAGATGCAAATCCCACTCCATAAATCACAGGGGTAAAAAAAGTAATATAATTATTTTTATTTTTTTCTATGTCTAAACAATTTCAGTTGTGACCCCAGTTGAGAGGCAGAAACTTAATCTTGGCACATTTCCTCTCAGGTCTTTCTGCTTTTTTAGCTTCCGTCAGTGGGTGGGGTAAGTCATGGTAGGGGGAAGTCCACTCTCCTCTAGAATTTATCAAACCTTCCTAGGGGGTTCAAATACAATCCCACTATCTAGATTCATTCAGCCCCCTACCCAGCTCTCCTTCCTCTTCTAGTCTATAAAATCTTTTTTCTTGACTTTTGTTTTTTCAAACTCAGTCTTATAGCCAGATTCAGGCTTTGTAATTTCTGAAATTCAAAAAAAAAAAAACAGACATTTGCCTCTTTTTTACATCCTGCTGAAGTATCCTTCCCCTCCCCTTATAACCAGAAAAAGCAAAGCCGTCAGAAGGTTGCAGAAAATAACAGGGACACAAAGCACATTGGTTAATGTATCATGATATCTCCATGTTATGTAAGGAAGGCCCTTCAACAATTAATGTTGCTGAAAATGAAATGAACTATATGAGATCATGAACCTCCCAGTCAATACAAAATGTATCTAAGAAAAGAACTGCTGGTCATGTAGCCAGAACATTAAAGAGGTTTAAAAGATACATATGAATTGGGAGTAGGGTATAGTGATTGGATCTGGGATGTTTTACCTTAATGGATAGAAAAAAATAGAAAGAAGGGAAGGAGGAAGACAGACAAACCCATAATTTCAAGGGAGCCAGAACAGAATGGCTGATTTTCCATGTAAATTCAAATGAAAGAGGGTAGGAAGAGACAGGTTACCATAAATCTCAATATTGACAAGAAGATAATTAAGGAAAAATATGTATAGAAAGTAAAGGAATAAATCAAGAACATCCAAGAATATGATTTCCTAAGATCTCCTGAAATAAAATGAAGTGTACCCTCCACGCTGAGACAAGAGGAGGGAAAGGTAAGGGAGCAAGGTGAAGGTGTAGAAGATTATCCCAAAAATGCAGTGCTGCAAAAACTGACTGAAAGCTGCCACTCAGTGACACCTTGATTCTGATCTAAAACCACAGAGCCCTTCCAGGAAAGAAAAGGCAGGATGAGTCATGTGAGAAGATAAGAAGCCATTGCCACCAAGGCATTTACATTTATCCCTTCCACAGCCTAAGGAATACATCCGGACTTTTTCTAATAATTTTCTCTAAACTTCTGTCTGAGATCTAATAATGAAATAATAATAATAATAAATTACTTTAAAGCACTCCCAGAGGCATCAGAATATATGCTGAGCCACATTAAAATGCAGCTTGGAGTTATGTAAAGTATCACATTAAAATTTAAAACCCTTCAAAATTCAATCTTGTTTAATTTCAAAGCTATATCTCAAATCAAAAGGCACTATGGGAATTGAAAGAGAAAAGGGAGATAACAATATTCTATCTCCATTAATGAGAGAACTGAGGTAGGAGGGAAGGGGGGAATCTACTGGATATTTTTAACGACAGCTTCATTTGTGACATATTCTAAATTTCTGTCTCTGTCACAATGCAAAGACAAGGGGATCATTCTACTTGTTGTTTCTAACGTCACTGTCATCAGTGAAGACTAATGTTCAAAAGCTGTGTTTCTGGCCTTGACCTCTGTGAAGCCCCAGACCTACCTATCAAACTGGCTGCCGGTCTTCCCTCCCCTTGGATAACATCCCACAAGCAGAACAAATTCAATTTGTCTGAAACTGAATTGATCATCTTTTTCCCCAAATCTGATCTTTATTTGCCATTCCAATTACATATACCCAACAAAAGAACCTAAGAGTCACCCTTGACACTTTTTCATCCTTTACAATGAAACTATCACTCATTTTACCTCCTAAATTGGTCTCCTCAATTAGTCTCCTCCTCTTTATCCCTCTGCCATTTGCTCTTTCAGTTTAGCCCCTTATCATCTCTCCTCTGAACCCCTGGCACCAGCTTCTTGATATGTCTATTCCTCCTTCTCCCTTGTCTTCCTGAGCACCAGCACCAGAGTGATTCTTAAAAAATGCAAATTTGATCTTGTCACAACCTCAGTATAGAGCCTTGAAATGAATGGCCCCCATTCTTTATAGGATATAAGTCAAGTTTCTCAGCACGACAAAAAGGACTTCCATGGGCTGGCCATTAACAGCTTCCCCTCCTGCCACTTGCCATGTCACAAACTGCAATTAAGCAAGCCTGAACAATTTGCAGTTACACTTGTTAGGCAACTTCATACTTTATCTTCCCTCATGTACTTCCCTCTGCCTGGAATGTGCGCCCTCTCTTCAAGGAGCCACAGTTCAAAAATCCATTGCTTTACCTCCCTGACTTTGTGCCACCCCTCACTCCTCTCCCGCTGAATGAGAGCAAGTGCCCTCTACCTTACGTGCAGAGGAACCAGTCATGCCTCTAAAGCACCCATCGCACCCCATTTAAATGTCTATTCACTCATCTGTTTTCCTCATTAGACTGTAAATTTCTAAAAGAAGCTGCCTTCTCCACTCACAGTGCCTGGTATGCAATAAATGTTCATTGAACTGAACTGAATTTTATTCATTAAGTGCCTCAATTTCTGCTTTATACTATCTGTAACATTTTCTGTTAGTTTCTAATATAGGCACAAGTGGGGAATTTATAGTAAATAATAATTTGTATGCTCAATTTAACAGGAAAATGGAAAGGAGCTTTTACTAAAGTGTTCTCCAGGTCAGCAGTGCATGGTGCCAAGTACATACTTTCACCATGTTATTTAATATGTAATATAGCCATGCATGTTAAGCAGTGGCTATAGTCTGTTTTCACAGAGAAGGAAACTACAGCTTAGAGGGGATAGTAAACCCTTCCAGGATTTTCTAGCTGGAAAGGATGGGTTCATATTGAAATATAGGTTTTACATGTATACACTAGTGCTTCTCAGGTAAGAAAGAGAAGAACACAGAAATTGAGCAAAAAGAAAAGGCAATACAAAGAATAAATAAAAGAAAATTTTCTAAGTTCTCCTCCAGTCTCACAACTTCCTCTTTTCTCCACATCCCTCAGCAGAATATGTGACTCTGGGTAATGAGGTCACTCTAAGACCATGGCTGTTGCTTAGAACACAGCGGTAAAGGAGAGTTATGGTTAGCAGTTCCATAAGGTTAGGCACTAATTAGATTCATTTATCTAGACATCTGTCCACTAAACCCTTGCAACCTATCTCACAAACACATGGACCAGGAAAACGTGTGGAAGCTCAGGTTAAATCCATCACCATCCTTACAAATACAACTGGAAGTACTAACCTTCCTAATGGTGCTTCCACATTTTGGTATTTGAAAGATACTATAAAGAGGTACAAGGCTCAGCTCTGCGAATGGAATGCAAAATAGAATGCCTAACTAGAAAAGTGAGGCCAGATAAGTGTGAGGGTTATTTCTTGTGTTCATCCCAGAGGATGAGAACACCTCTCCTCCAGGAAATGGGTGAGGACAAACTGCCTCTCACACGACACCCACATATATTCTAGGTTTAGGGACACTGGGAACAAATGGTGGACATTGAGAACTATGAGGTGGTATGAATCAGGGCTTCAAGCTCAGGAGTAAGGACTAAACCAAGTCCAAAGCCTGACACTTCTAGAAGTCCTGCCTAGTAGTGTGGAGCCATAAAAACAAGCCTGGCCTAGTCAGTGGAGGTAATCTAGTACCAATAAAAATTGCTTCTGCTGCTAAACAATGTTTGGAGCTCATCACTCAGAGAGTTAAAAGGGCTACGATTCAGGGACACCAGGCAAAGAGCCCAACATCAGCAGCCTTGAAAAAGACAAGGAAGAAAAAATGTAGCAGCAATTCACTAGGCATGTGACTTGAGATTTGGCAGGCTGCCTTGGCAGGGCTGGACAGTCTGTGGGCAGAAAATTCACATATTTTTTTCCTGCAGCCAGAAGCCAAGAAGGCACAGACAGACGAATACCAACTCAGATCCTTCAACAAGCTAATAATCAATAAGACCTTCCTAAGGAGAACAATGAATGAATAACCACAACTTTCATCTGTTTTACACATGCATATGACTGATCACCATTACTCCAACTGGGCTTTATTACTTTTACAACCTTAAACAGTTCTGTAATATATTAATTGGATATCAATATGCAACCAATCCAAGTTTTCTCACCTGATAGGCAGACTGCTAAACAAAGGTCTGAAGCAAAAGCAAGGGACAGAGTTCAGCTCAAGTCAACCAACGTTAATAGGGCATGAATTAAGACACTGGGCCAAGAGCAGCTAATACAAAGATGAATAAGGTATCTTTGAGGAAAGTACAGTATACTGTAGGAGGAAAAAAAGCAAAGAGAATGTCAATATAATATCCTAATTGCTGGCACAGTATGTACATGATAGTGTATGAAGATCACTAGCCAGGGTTAAAAGACCACAAGCAAAGCAAGCAAATGTCAATTAACCCCTGTGAGGACTAAAAGGAAGAGTTAAAAAGCTACCCTAGAGATAATTCAGTCTGGAATTCAAATGAGGACACATGTTAAAAAGGGAGTATGACCTGCCCAGAGTCATACAGTTAGTTGCAAAACCTAGGCTGGAACTCAGGTTTCCAGCGCTTTCCACCATAGCAGAACACTTTTCCAAAATCACAGGAAATTGGGCAAGTTGCAGCCTTCCGAAGCTGGGAATATGACTTTCAAAACTGCAGATTCTAAAGACATATTGATTAACGATCTTTGATTAATGATCTGTGAATGAGGATGGGGGAAGTGCATGGCAGCTGGCTGTCCTCGGGGTGGGAAACTTGGAGGACAGAATGGCATCTGCATGTGGTTTGTCAGTAAAAACAAAAAGCTTAAAAAAGCATTGCATTTGTAACTCAAAGCAACTATTTGCTTAAAAAAAAACTTGCTTCAATGGCACTACGAGTTCTATTCTCCTCTCCTACAGCAAAGAACTGTTTTATCACTTGTGCTAATAATATGGAAATGTCTCCTTCCTGAACTGTGAGGTTTCTCAGAGATCAGCAAAACTGAAGCACGTTACAACATTAATATCTCTACTTCAGACTGAGTTAGAAAGCTCTTTCTCCAGTAGACTTTCACTATGACATCATGAAGTTCTAAGTCCCATATAAACTAAAAGAAAACCCTACCCAAAGAAATGCAGGCCAGTTGTGATTATAGGGTAATAAGACCAATGCTACCCTTAATTCATTCAACAAACATTTACTGATTAACCCTGTGTCATGAACTATTTTAACTAAGATTTTGAGAGGAGGGAACAAAAGATGGGAAGACAAAACACAAGATCAATCAGACACAACCCTTGTCTAGTGAGGAAAGCAAGAGCAAATACACAAGCAAAGGACTGTAAAATTGTTTGATAAATGTTACAAAGCAATGCTACCCAAAATGTGGCCCTGGACCAGTGCAGACCTGTGAATTGTTGGTTGTTGATCCACAAGAAGATGGCTAAATACACACGTTAAGAGTAAATATATAGAAAACCTTTATAGCATTTTTTTTTTTTTGAGACTGAGTCTCGCTCTGTCACCCAGGCTGGAGTGCAGTGGCGCAATCTCAGCTCACTGCAACCTCCGCCTCGCGGGTTCACGCCATTCTCCTGCCTCAGGCTCCTGAGTAGCTGGGACTACAGGCGCCCACCACCACGCCCAGCTAATTTTTGTATTTTTAGTAGAAGACACGGGGTTTCACCATGTTAGCCAGGATGGTCTCGAACTCCTGACCTCGTGATCTGCCCGCCTCGGCCTCCCAAACTGCTGAGATTACAGGCATGAGCCACCACACCCAGCCCCTTTATAGCATTTTAATAGTAATTTTAGGTCTGTTGAAGCTAACAATTTTTTAAATGAGGCTATCTTATGTTTTTTACACTTCATTTTTCTAGTATTTCATTTTTATTACATTTTACAAAATCATCAGCCCAAAAATAGTTTAAGGAGCAATGAATAGAGTGACATAACAGAAGTACTATTTTCTATACTATACTATACAAACACAGATGAAAAGAAATGGCCTTTCGGATTTAAGAGAGGCTCTAAAGGGGAGATAACTTTTTAGCAGCAAAGGATAAGCAGGGGTTTTCCAGACATATTAAGGAGAAGTATCAGGCAGAGGAAGAGCATCTGCAAAGGCTCGGGGTCATACTAGTGGATGGTATTTTTATAAAAATAAACTTTGAGGCACAGTAATAAACAGTAAAAGTGCAGAAAGTTAGGTTACAAAGAGATTCACAGAGACTGGCATGATTTTACAGTTCAGGCTTTGGACTCTCCCCCAAAATGCAATAGGGAACCACTGAAGAGTTTTATAAGCAAAAGAAGGATATATTTATGTTTTCATTGTTCTGACAGCAGTGTGGTAGACAGATTTGAAAGGGAGAGAGAATAGAGGGAGGGATACAGACCAGTTGTGAACATACTGAAATAACCTAGATGTGAAGTGAAGAGAACCTGCATTATATCAAGGAAAACAGGCAAGAAAGAATGGCTTAGAGAAATGTTTTGAAAGTATGGATGCATAATGTGCCTTACTTAAGATGGGTCAGAATCTGTAATTAGATTCTGTTCACTCAATTCAATTAAGTGTCCTGATGTTATGAAGGGGAGATCAGTAAACATAAAGATGCTAAGTAAGTTAACTGAGAGATAGGAGATAGACCTGGGAATGAAATACAAAATTCTAGAAAAATCTTGGGTTTTAATAATCTTACATAGATTCACATATATATAAATGGAGAAGAAAAATGGATAAAGAGTTATAGCCAACACATTTATTTTCCACATTTTATGTACAGAGCAGTATTGTAGACACTATGGAAAATCCAAAGGGAAACAATATAGTCCCTTTCACTGTTTCTAACCCCTGGGCAACTTGAGGGTCTCCACCTAGAAGTTAGTTCTGGACAACAGAAACCTGAAGTATTTCAATAGATTTCAAACCAAGACTCATTTTTTCAACCCAGAGAAATCCTGTGGGTTCAGGGAATCTCTAAAGGGCAAGGGTATGTATATATGTGTAGGTAGGAAGGGAGAGTTCCTTGATTGGAAGAAATGAATATTTCCTGAAATGTTCCCAAGGAAAATACAAGTCCCTTGAATGAAATCCGTTGAATCAACCAGCTCCTCTGGAATTACCTAGTCTCTAAGGAATGCACAGCCCTCTCAAATCCAATATAAATTCCACAGAGATCCAGAGAATTGCATCTCCTAAAAATACAGGTCACAGGCTTAGGGAGCCCATAAAACTCACTTAGAAAGGACCAGAGTGGAAGCACTGGGCAAACATACACCATTCTTCTGGGAGTATTTTTTAAAATGCAACAGAAAATTAGACGGAGTCAGAAACAATTCAATTATTGTTCCATCACAGATATTCTGTATCCCCACTAACCATAACACATACAGGGAACACCACTTATCATAACACTATTGTTGTGGGCAGGCCCAATATCTATGTTATGGTGGTCTGACCGTGTCTTATGAGGCTCTCATAAGTGCCTACTATATTTCAGGGCACATGATTTTACCAAAGTATGTAACAGGCTTAGTTTTATAACAACATCTACTGTATTCTAGTCATGAACTGGGATAAATAAGCCTTTTTGTACTCCACAGCTGCATCTATTCAAGTGAAATACCACAATTAACCTGTGAATTTAATCTAAATATTCAACAAGTATACAAAATTAAATATTAAAAAGTTTAATTTCCCTAAAGAGTAATAAGCTTTTAACATAAAATCATCAACTGCCACTTAATTTTCTTTCATAAAAACATTATTAGCCTCTGCCTTTGTAAAATGACAATGGATATAAGATAAATGCTCACGTATAAGAGAACAGAACATAAAATTATCTCCTAAGAGCATTAACTACCATTTTTTTAATTTAGAAAATGAACAAATTCTCAATCAGTGCCTACCATCTGCAAGACACTATTGGGAATCAATGGAAAACAAAAAGATCTAATTATCCACAAGGTCTGGAAAAGATAGAGAACAGAATCACTTAATACCACCAGTGTATGGAGGTAAGCAAGGAGAAGCTCTCCATTCAGTCTCCAAGATCCTCTGCTAGTCCCGTACAATGCACCAGCATGGAAAGTGATGAATAAGCTTCATTGATAATAGTGACTACGTCACAGCTGGCTGAACATTCAGTCCACAAACAGAAGGCTTCTGTATTTGCTCGAATCAACCATAGGAAAGTTTTAGCAAAAAGACTGTTATATTCAAATGGAAATCAGTACTTTCCAGCAAGAATAGACAATTAGTAATTCCTTTAACTGGCACTGAAAGGAAGAAAAGAGAAATGTACCAAAAATTATCACAAACAACCTATATTCCAAAATATGAAACAAATAAGAAAGATGACTATTGTTAACATTTTGAAAAACTCACGTAGCAGACATAAGGTAAGTCTGGATGTTATGAGTCTCCCAGTTATCAACTTATACTGATAAATTTTATCCAACTACTCTCCCTTTGTAAATTTCTTATTACATAAAGTTTAAACTGTAGTCCAAGATTTCAGCACATAGTTAATTTAGATGGCGTTCTTTAAACATTTAGCAAAAAGTGCAAAGTCTGTTTATACAACATTTGAATCTACATTTTAAAAGTGTTTATTCACCAGATTAACAGATTCTTGCAAATATCTCTTCAAGACTAGCAGGGCACATAATCACCAACCTCACTCCAATCCCCAAGCACACACACAATTATGGCCTATCTGACTTATGGATCTGGTTTTATGAATCTGATCCTGCGACTATAGAAGTTTGCAGGCCCTTAATTAAGTTACAATTATTCCATGGCTACCTTGGTGTTGAAAAACACAAATGTCAAGGAAATAGGCAAAAGAAATTTCACTGGAGTTAAAGCACTTATTTCCTAGATATAATGTCAAAAGCACAAGTGATAAAAGAAAAAAATTGAGGTTCAACTTTATGAAAATTAAGAATTTTGGTGTTCCAAATGTGACACTACCGAAAAAGTGAAAAGAGAGCCAACAGAATGGAAGTCATACACAAGGGATTTGTATCCAGCATAAATAATCTTAAAATTCAGCAACAAAAATACAAATAAAGGTCAGGTGCATCACATCTAGAATACCAGCACCTTGGGAGGCCAAGGCAGGAGAATTGCTTGAAGCCAAGAGTTCAAGACCAGCCTAGGGAAAATAGCAAGACCCTGTCTCTACAAAAAATTTAAAAATTAGCTGGGCATGGTGGCACATACCTGTAGTCCCAGCTACTCACAGTAGGCTGATGTGGGAGGATCATTTGAGCCCAAGAGTTCAAGGATGCAGTGAGCTTTGATGGTGCCACTGCACTCCAGCCTGGGCAACAGAGCAAGATCCCAATGAAGTAAGTAAATAAGTAAGTAAATAAATAGGCAAAGACATGAAATGATGTCCAGTATCATTAATCATTATAAAAATGCAAAACTACAAGATACTATTTCAAATCCATTAGAATGGCTACAATTAAAAGACAATAACAAGTGTTAACAAGGATATGGAGAAACTGGAGCTTTCAGACAATTCTGTGGAGAATGTAAAAGAGTGCAGTCACTTTGGAAAACAGTTTGGCGATTAAACAGAGTTGCCAATTCTGTAATTACTAAGCAATTCCACCTTTAGTTATATATGCAAGATAAATAAAAACATATCACATAAAAACTTTTACCTATATTTATAGAATATGTGTTCACAGCATGATAGCCAAAAAGTAGCAACAACCCAAATGTCCATCAACTGATGAATGAAAAAATAAAAAGTTATATATCCATACATGTAATATTATTCAGCAATAAAAAGCAATAAAGTAGTGATAAACGCTAAAACATGGATGAACCTTGAAAACATTATATAAAGTGAAAGAAGCCAGTCACAAAAGACCACATGTGGCATGACTACATTGATAAGAAATGTTCAGAAAAGGCAAGTCTATATAGATAGAAACTAGATTAGAGGTTTCCAAGGACTGAGAGAGGGTGCAAGGGTGTGGGAAGTGAATACTAATGGGTACAAGTTTTCTTTCTGGAGAGTGATGGAAATGTTCTCAAATTAGATAATGGTACTCGCTGCATAAATTTTTTAAACATACTGCAAACAATCAAATTGTACACTGTACATTGGTAAATGTTGTGGTATATGAATTATATGTCAATAAAATAGTTTTGCATTGTGCCAAACTGCAAACCTTTTCACACTTCTGAAAGCAGTCCCTCAAGCTACCTGATATCTGATGGGGAAAGGCACATATGAAGTAGAGCAATTATTCTCCTATCAACCTGTGTCTATATCTCAAGCATTAATCTAGAGTTGGGCTGGCTCTGGGGGCACCAGAGAACTCAATGTATACATCCTAAACATTATGAATTCCTAAGAATTACCGAAGCCTAGCAGCACCTACTGCCAATTTTGGTTCCATTTACTTCAGTAAACATTGATTGAGGCCCATAATTGGCTAAGGACTACCTCTAGAATACAAAGACAAAAGAAATAGTGGGGCTGGGCACAGTGGCTCATGCCTGTAACCCTAGCACTTTGGGTGGCTGAGGCAGGAGAATCCCTTGAGCCCAGGAGTTTGAGACCAGCTGGGGCAACATAGTAAGTCCTCATCTCTACCAGAAATAAACAAAATTAGCCAGGTGTGGTGGCACACAACTATAGTCCCAGCTACTCAGGAGGCTGAGATGGGAGGATCACTTAAGCCTGGGAGGTTGAGCCTGCAGTGATTCAAGATCGCACCACTGCACTCCAGCCTAGACCTTGTCAAGAGAGAAGAGATGAGACGAGAAGAGGAAAATAGTGGGCCTAATACCCAAGGAGTTCACTGCTTGTTAAGTCTAAGACAGATACATATGCCCATGGTTCCAGTTCAGTATACCATGTGCAAACTACAGGAATAAGCATGGCGGCAGAGAAATATTACAGAGAAGGGAGTAGTTAATTTTATCTCAGTATGACCCACACAGGTTTCACAGGAGTAAGAATACCTGAGCAGGGCTTTAAAGGATTGGTAGACAGGAGAGGAATGGTACAGGGAAGAACGTGGAGGAAGGAAAGCAGGCCACAGTCAAGGCAATGAAAAGGGGTTATGTAATAGAAAAGCGGCTTGAAGGGCTGAAAGAAATTTGGAAACAAAATTAAGCGTCATGCAAAAAATGTCAGAAGATGAGTTTGGGGAATTAAGCTAGACTATGCATATGCTACAAATTTCAAACCTTCTCCTAAGGCAACAGTGAGGCTTTGAAGGGTTTTAAGCAGGTGAATGAAATTATCAGATTTATTTTAGAAATATCACCCTAGCCAATCATTTGCAGAATGACGATTCACTAGAACAAGGGTTCTCCAGGTTTTATTCACCTAAGTAATCACTTTTCATGTGCTTTCAAATGCAATGTTACATAGTAACCCGAGACGAAAGAAAGCAAAAAGCAAATCACTTCTGGTTGAAACACTGGAAGGCCTGGAGCCCTGTACAGGCAATGATCACCGTTTAGCCCCCACAACTGAAGAACCCTGACAGCTCAGCAGAAGATGGTGTGGAAATTTTTGAACTAAAGAGAGGTATTAATAATAACGGAAGACTGGAGATTAATTAAGAAGCTAGTTTAATAGTCCAGGATAAAATGATCAGTACCTAAAACAACAAAGAAGAAAAGAGAGTCCAGAAAGCTCCAAACAAAAACAACTGACAGAATTTCAAGACTGACTAGATGTAGCATAAGAATGAAGACAGAATCAAGGATGACTTCCGGGCTTATGGTTTGCTTGTTTATTTATTTATTTATTTATTTTTGAGACAGAGTCTCGCTCTGTTGCCCAAGCTGGAGTGCAATGGCATGATCTCAGCTCACTGAAACCTCCACCTCCTGGGTTCAAGCGATTCTCCTGCCTCAGCCTCCTGAGTAGCTGGGACTACAGGTGCCCGCCACCACGCCCCGCTAATTTTTTTTTATTTTTAGTAGACAGGGTTTCACTGTGTTAGCCAGGATGGTCTCGATCTGACCTCGTGATCCGCCCGCCTCGGCCTCCCAAAGCGCTGGGATGACAGGCGTGAGCCACTGCACCTGGCTAATTTTTTGTATTTTTAGTAGAGACAGAGTTTCACCATATTAGCCAAGCTGCTCTCAAACTCCTGATCTCAGGTAATCCACCTGCCTCAGCCTCCCAAAGTGCTGGGATTACAGGCGTGAGCCACCACGCATGGACAGCAAGCAGGTTATGGTTTAGGTGAAGGGAAATGACTCGGTTGATAAAATGGACAGGGATACTTGGCTTATCTAAAGATACTTCAAACTTAGTAATTCCCAAAATTGAACTCTCTTGCCCCTTGTCAAACCTGTTAGTGTTAGCAGTGTTAGCAGTTTCATATCTCAGTACATGGCACCAGATTATGCTGGTGCTTGAGACAGAAGCCTCAGAATCACCTCTGGTAGCTACTCCCACACATTCCATACATTAAGTCCATCACCAAGTGTCACTGATTCTAATTTCAAAATTTGTTTCATTTATCCACCACTTCCATCACCACTGCTACCACGCTACTTCCATGCCACCATCATCTTATACCTTGATTTCTACAACAGCCTCTTAATCCAGTTTCCTTGCTACTATCCTTGACTCACTCCAAACCATTCTACACACAACAATGAGCTTTATAAACCATAAAACCCTTCCGTGGATTCCCATTGCACTTTAAAGACAAAGAACATGTCTTGTTTTTTTTTTGTTTTTGTTTTTGTTTTTTTTGAGTCTCGCTCTGTCACCTAGGCTGGAGTGCAGTGGTGCGATCTCGGCTCACTGCAACCTCTGCCTCCCGGGTTCACGACATTCTCCTGCCTCAGCCTCCTGAGCAGCTGGGACCACAGGTGCTTGCCACAATGCCTGGCTAATTTTTTGTATTTTTAGTAGAGACGGGGTTTCACCGTGTAAGCCAGGGTGATCTCGATCTCCTGACCTTGTGATCCGCCTGCCTCGGCCTCCCAAAGTGCTGGGATTACAGGCGTGAGCCACCGCGCCTGGCCGAGAACATGTCTTGTTTTATTCATCTTGGGACACTCAGTGCCTAATACACTGTAGACAATAAATATTTTTTAAAAGAACAAAAAAGAAAGGATCAGGCCTAGAGTAAGATGATGAGTTTTATTTCAGGATTCTTGGATTTGAGGTGTCTATGGGATGTGCAAGGGGTGACCCTATGGCAACTGGTAGTAGGAGCCTGAATCCAAACTGACATTTGGCCTCACTATTTCAGGACTAAACAGTAATAGGATCCTGAATCCAAACTGACATTTGGCCTCACTATTTCAGGGCTAAACAGTAGTAGAAGCCTGAATCCAAACTGACATTTGGCATCACTATTTCAGGACTAAATAAGTAGAGTTATCTACGGTAAACAGGACTAAGACTATTTTAGATAATCATAAACTAAGTTAACAAAGCTTGAAGCAAGCTCAGCTTCTTAGAAAGATTAAAGTGTCTCTCTAATCTGGAATTCTGCAGCACTGGGTCAGGTCTAGGTCAGCATTTCAAGGACCACAGAAACCAGTGACCTAGCACTAGATTTGTGGTGGAATCTTTACAGAAGCCATTTGGCAGCAAAGCCTGTGATTTGCTCACTTTCTTCAAACTATTTTCACAACACCTCTGCTGCCCCCCCCCAGCCACACCACCCCCCTCCCCCGGCTCCCTGATGTCCTCACCAATTTCCAAATGACTTCTCTATTAGTTAATCATGAATCTTACCTGACTCTCAGACAGCACATCTAGGGTGGTGCCTAGAAGCCTGTATTCTGACAACTATACCAGGCAATTGCTCAGTCTGGGTAAAATTAACAGTTTAGAGAACATATGCAAAAGTTACCTTCATTCCTCTCTTCTACTGACCCTAGATAGCTGTCTTAGGACGTTACTGTTATGAGGACTTTCAAACAATAATAAAATTGTAATTTATTGCAGATTTCCTACAGTACTACACAAAAATATTTAATATAATGTACTGTTCATGGCAAATGCTAAGAACTTCCAGGTTTCTAATAAGTAACCATTACTTTTCCAAAGACACATGTAAGAGACACTGATTATAATATCCAATATCCCTTTTCCTCCTTAATTTCTGCCAACATCAGTGTTTAACTACTGTATACAAACACTTCAAGTTTAGTAAGCTGGTAATGGCGCTTCTATTTTGATTTTTAAGTCAATATATAAAATAATAATATATTTTCTTTTAAAACAGAGCTTCTGAGAACCTCTGCCTACATATCCAGGGAATGTGTACAACAGTAAGTGTCAGATGAGTTGGCTTATGACCTAATTGTTTGGTTTATTATTCAGGTGATCAGAGGTGACAGCCTGGTAACTTTGTCAATCCTAAGGTTTTACACTGATTTACACTTGGTTTTAAATCAATTGTTTTATATCTATAAAGGACTACTGGTTAAATACAAGAAATATTAGAATTGTTGAAGTCAATAAGGAACATAAATGTTAAATCCTGAAACTTCAACTCAAGATGACTTTTACCAGCTCTGTATATTGCATTATCTGATCAAATTTCTTAAGACTTAAAAATGTCTCCAATACTTCAAAATCCATTGGGGGGGAAAAAAAAGAAAAAATGAAAACGCAGCAAACATAACATCAAACTGACTTCTTTCATTTATGGTGAATAAGTATTATCTGCACCCACAAAGTATTATTTGCAAAAAAAAAAAAAGTTTGCAAATAGCAATTTCAAATATGTCATATTTTACTGTATTTTAAAAGAAAGCCCCAAAACTATTTTTTATAAATAAGGAGAAAATACAAGACTTTCAACTGCTGGGTGACAGACTAAGGTTTTTATTTATTTTTGATGCCTCAATATAACCTTAAATTTCAATTTGCCCTTTAATCTACGCTCATTCCCAAAAGCATGTGATTTTAAAAGTTGACAAATGGTATCTATTTTATGCGGTTAAATTAAGCAACCTTTACATTGTAAAACAGTATGTACAAAGTTATTCATTTTGGCATTGTTTATAATAGTAAAACAGTGGAAACCATCTAAGTATTCATCAATACAGGGTGCAAGTTATGTTACATCCATACAATGAAATGTTATGAAAAAATTTTTTAATAATAAGGAAATGGGTATAACTGTGCTACTACTTGTGTAGGAAATGGGGGTGCACTGGGGAATATGTAAATATATTAGACTGTATATGGGTAATATAACTCTAGAATTATACTTTAAAAAAAAAATCTGACAATACTAATGCCCTGTGGGGAAACAAATCGAGTGAATGGGGCCAGGATATGAGAAAAACTTACTAATAAATATCTTACTTTTTTTGAAATTTGAGCCATATAAATATATTAGCTAAGAAAGAAATGGTCAAAATAAATAACATTTTTAAAAAGTGAACCATGTATAAGAGTACTTGAAAAGAAATGAATACTTTCGAAAACATATTGCTCAATGACTAGGTTATATATAATTACACAGATAAAACCAATGTGGAAAGAAACTGCTATAATTATGTCTTCTCTTAAAACTTCTCACTATGTACTCCATTGAGTAATATGACATATAAAATTCTAGAGTTAATTTCATCCCAAACCCTTCAGATGTTCCATCAATGGTTGAAACAGCAACAACAATGGGTTCCTTCACTCTTCAGGACTACAGGAAAAAGGCAGCAAACATAAGGTTCTTGACATATCCTTGTAAGTGACTGAGCAAAAAATTTTGAAAATATTCAATTTTTCTCATTGCACTGTATGTCACTTGTTAAATGAAAAGTCAAAATGTCTCTTCATTCATAATGCTATATTAAATCATATATTAAAATAAACTTCATAACACTACTTAATAATACAATATCCATTTAAAATCCATATCTTATTCACGTTATCTTTTATAGACCCAAAATGACAGAATGCTTTTTAAAAAATAATTCATAGAGCATTCTTCAGAAATAAGGTCTTGGGTCCAAAAAAGTTGAGAACAAAGCAAGATGACTAGAGTACCAGCAACCGACACCCAGAGTTGTTGGAAAACAAAAATCAACAATGTAAAACAAGATGAACAAAAATGGTTGGCTTCTCAATTAACCATCTAAATTCAAATAGATACTCCCACTATTCATCCCTCACTAAGTTCCTGACAGATTGGCTTTAAAAGCTCTTCCAAAGATTCATTATTCTTTTTTTTTTTTTTTTTTTTTTGGTGGTGTAGTGCAACCCATTTATTGTAAATATGAAGAAATGCCTGGTTGTCCTCCTACCTCTCTGGCTGCTCTTCTCAATCTCCTTTGCTGGATTCTACTCTTTTTCTACCATCTAGGCTCTTTAGGACTCTGTCCTTGGACCTCTCCTCTTTCCACACTCATATTATTTGATGATTCTTTCTAATCTTATAGCTTTTAATTCCATCTGTGCACTCTTGATTCACAAACTTATACCTCCAGGCCAGATCTCCCTTTGGAACTCCAGTCATATTTCCAACTGCCTAATTGACACCCTTCTGGGAAATCTAAGAGATTGCTCAGAGTTTGCACGCCTCAAATGAGACTCTGGGACTTCTGCAAAGTCTATTCTATCGTATTTAATGGCAACTCTGTCCTTCCAGTTGCTAGGACCCAAATATCTTAGTCATCCTTGACTATTCTTTTTTTTTTTTCGTATGGCATGCATCAGATCCACCAAGAAATCCTGTAGGTTCTCCCATCCAAATATATTTTGAATCAAACCACTTCTCTTTCATCATTATTAATCTGTGTCATACCATCATCATTTCTCATCTGAATTATTCCAGTAGTGTGTCCTCTTAATCAGGATGATAATTTTGAAGACTCAAAGGGAGAAGGGCATTAACAATTGCATTGAAACACATTGCCCAAAATTATTCTGGGCAAACAGGTCACTCTTAACTCATCTTCCTGTCCCCTTGAAGTTGAATCCTAATATATTAGCCAGAGTGCCTCTGTTCAAATCTAGCTTTAGATCATATCACTCGGTTGTAATCTCTTCAATGGCCCTTTGTTTCACCCAAAGTAAAAGCCAAAATCCTCACAAGGTTCTGTGCTGTCTGCTCTTTCATTGCCCAGCAACCATATTTTCTATAATATTCCTTGCCTATTCTGACTGTTTCTCCAGCAGTGTTTTTGCTGTTCTTCAATCATGCCAAGCATGCTTCCACCTCAGGACCTTTGTACTGGCTGTCTCTCTGTCTGAAATGTCCTTCCCCTAGATGTCTGCATGGCTGCATCCTTCAATTCGCCTATATCCTTCAATTGGCACTTAGTCATTTAAGCCTACCCTTGTCATGTTATGTTAAATTATAATAATCCCTTTCCTCTCCATATTTCTTTCTGTTTTAATTTTTTTCATAGTACTTGCCGTCCTCTAATATTTTATATAATTTACTTACTTATATTTATTTTCTGTCTTTTGCCAATAGAATGTAAATTCCACATGGGCAGGGAACTTCTTTTTGCTTGGCTTCTAGTGTACTTCCTGAGCCCAGAACAGAACCTGGCACGCAGTGGTAACTCAAAAGATATTTGTTTTTTGCTTTAGTTTTTGTTTTTTTCTGGCCCCAGGTTTTCTTTTTTTTTTTTTTTTATTATACTTTAAGTTTTAGGGTACATGTGCACATTGTGCAGGTTAGTTACATATGTATACATGTGCCATGCTGGTGCGCTGCACCCACTAACTCGTCATCTAGCATTAGGTATATCTCCCAATGCTATCCCTCCCCCCTCCCCCCACCCCACAACAGTCCCCAGAGTGTGATATTCCCCTTCCTGTGTCCATGTGATCTCATTGTTCAATTCCCATCTATGAGTGAGAATATGCAGTGTTTGGTTTTTTGTTCTTGTGATAGTTTACTGAGAATGATGGTTTCCAGTTTCATCCATGTCCCTACAAAGGACATGAACTCATCATTTTTTATGGCTGCATAGTATTCCATGGTGTATATGTGCCACATTTTCTTAATCCAGTCTATCGTTGTTGGACATTTGGGTTGGTTCCAAGTCTTTGCTATTGTGAATAATGCCGCAATAAACATAAGTGTGCATGTGTCTTTATAGCAGCATGATTTATAGTCCTTTGGGTATATACCCAGTAATGGGATGGCTGGGTCAAATGGTATTTCTAGTTCTAGATCCCTGAGGAATCGCCACACTGACTTCCACAATGGTTGAACTAGTTTACAGTCCCACCAACAGTGTAAAAGTGTTCCTATTTCTCCACATCCTCTCCAGCACCTGTTGTTTCCTAACTTTTTAATGATTGCCATTCTAACTGGTGTGAGATGATATCTCATAGTGGTTTTGATTTGCATTTCTCTGATGGCCAGTGATGATGAGCATTTTTTCATGTGTTTTTTGGCTGCATAAATGTCTTCTTTTGAGAAGTGTCTGTTCATGTCCTTCACCCACTTTTTGATGGGGTTGTTTGTTTTTTTCTTGTAAATTTGTTTGAGTTCTTTGTAGATTCTGGATATTAGCCCTTTGTCAGATGAGTAGGTTGTGAAAATTTTCTCCCATGTTGTAGGTTGCCTGTTCACTCTGATGGTACTTTCTTTTGCTGTGCAGAAGCTCTTTAGTTTAATTAGGTCCCATTTGTCAATTTTGGCTTTTGTTGCCATTGCTTTTGGTGTTTTGGACATGAAGTCCTTGCCCACGCCTATGTCCTGAATGGTAATGCCTAGGTTTTCTTCTAGGGTTTTTATGGTTTTAGGTCTAACATTTAAATCTTTAATCCATCTTGAATTGATTTTTCTATAAGGTGTAAGGAAGGGATCCAGTTTCAGCTTTCTACATATGGCTAGCCAGTTTTCCCAGCACCATTTATTAAATAGGGAATCCTTTCCCCATTGCTTGTTTTTCTCAGGTTTGTCAAAGATCAGATAGTTGTAGGTATGCGGCATTATTTCTGAGGGCTCTGTTCTGTTCCATTGATCTATATCTCTGTTTTGGTACCAGTACCATGCTGTTTTGGTTACTGTAGCCTTGTAGTATAGTTTGAAGTCAGGTAGTGTGATGCCTCCAGCTTTGTTCTTTTGGCTTAGGATTGACTTGGTGATGCGGGCTCTTTTTTGGTTCCATATGAACTTTAAAGTAGTTTTTTCCAATTCTGTGAAGAAAGTCATTGGTAGCTTGATGGGGATGGCATTGAATCTGTAAATTACCTTGGGCAGTATGGCCATTTTCACGATATTGATTCTTCCTACCCATGAGCATGGAATGTTCTTCCATTTGTTTGTATCCTCTTTTATTTCATTGAGCAGTGGTTTGTAGTTCTCCTCAAAGAGGTCCTTCACATCCCTTGTAAGTTGGATTCCTAGGTATTTTATTCTCTTTGAAGCAATTGTGAATGGGAGTTCACTCATGATTTGGCTCTCTGTTTGTCTGTTGTTGGTGTATAAGAATGCTTGTGATTTTTGTACATTGATTTTGTATCCTGAGACTTTGCTGAAGTTGCTTATCAGCTTAAGGAGATTTTGGGCTGAGACGATGGGGTTTTCCAGATAAACAATCATGTCGTCTGCAAACAGGGACAATTTGACTTCCTCTTTTCCTAATTGAATACCTTTTATTTCCTTCTCCTGCCTGATTGCCCTGGCCAGAACTTCCAACACTATGTTGAATAGGAGCGGTAAGAGAGGGCATCCCTGTTTTCAAAGGGAATGCTTCCAGTTTTTGCCCATTCAGTATGATATTGGCTGTGGGTTTGTTATAGATAGCTCTTATTATTTTGAAATATGTCCCATCAATACTTAATTTATTGAGAGTTTTTAGCATGAAGGGTTGTTGAATTTTGTCAAAGGCTTTTTCTGCATCTATTGAGATAATCATGTGGTTTTTGTCTTTGGCTCTCTTTATATGCTGGATTACATTTATTGATTTGCGTATATTGAACCAGCCTTGCATCCCAGGGATGAAGCCCACTTGATCATGGTGGATAAGCTTTTTGATGTGCTGCTGGATTCAGTTTGCCAGTATTTTATTGAGGATTTTTGCATCGATATTCATCAAGGATATTGGTCTAATATTCTCTTTTTTGGTTGTGTCTCTGCCCGGCTTTGGTATCAGAATGATGTTGGCCTCATAAAATGAGTTAGGGAGGATTCCCTCTTTTTTTATTGATTGGAATAGGTTCAGAAGGAATGGTACCAGTTCCTCCTTGTACCTCTGGTAGAATTCGGCTGTGAATCCATCTGGTCCTGGACTCTTTTTGGTTGGTAAACTATTGATTATTGCCACAATTTCAGCTCCTGTTATTGGTCTATTCAGAGATTCAACTTCTTCCTGGTTTAGTCTTGGGAGAGTGTATGTGTCGAGGAATGTATCCATTTCTTCTAGATTTTCTAGTTTATTTGTGTAGAGGTGTTTGTAGTATTCTCTGATGGTAGTTTGTATTTCTGTGGGATCGGTGGTGATACCCCTTTATCATTTTTTATTGTGTCTATTTGATTCTTCTCTCTTTTTTTCTTTATTAGTCTTGCTAGCGGTCTATCAATTTTGTTGATCCTTTCAAAAAACCAGCTCCTGGATTCATTGATTTTTTGAAGGGTTTTGTGTGTCACTATTTCCTTCAGTTCTGCTCTGATTTTAGTTATTTCTTGCCTTCTGCTAGCTTTTGAATGTGTTTACTCTTGCTTTTCTAGTTCTTTTAATTGTGATGTTAGGGTGTCAATTTTGGATCTTTCCTGCTTTCTCTTGTGGGCATTTAGTGCTATAAATTTCCCTCTACACACTGCTTTGAATGTGTCCCAGAGATTCTGGTATGTTGTGTCTTTGTTCTCGTTGGTTTCAAAGAACATCTTTATTTCTGCCTTCATTTCGTTATGTACCCAGTAGTCATTCAGGAGCAGGTTGTTCAGTTTCCATGTAGTTGAGCGGCTTTGAGTGAGATTCTTAATCCTGAGTTCTAGTTTGATTGCACTGTGGTCTGAGAGATAGTTTGTTATAATTTCTGTTCTGTCACATTTGCTGAGGAGAGTTTTACTTCCAACTATGTGGTCAATTTTGGAATAGGTGTGGTGTGGTGCTGAAAAAAATGTATATTCTGTTGATTTGGGGTGGAGAGTTCTGTAGATGTCTATTAGGTGCGCTTGGTGCAGAGCTGAGTTCAATTCCTGGGTATCCTTGTTGACTTCCTGTCTCGTTGATCTGTCCAATGTTGACAGTGGGGTGTTAAAGTCTCCCATTATTAATGTTTGGGAGTCTAAGTCTCTTTGTAGGTCACTCAGGACTTGCTTTATGAATCAGGGTGCTCCTGTATTGGGTGCATATATGTTTAGGATAGTTAGCTCCTCTTGTTGAATTGATCCCTTTACCATTATGTAATGGCCTTCTTTGTCTCTTTTGATCTTTGTTGGTTTAAAGTCTGTTTTATCAGAGACTAGGATTGCAACCCCTGCCTTTTTTTGTTTTCCATTTGCTTGGTAGATCTTCCTCCACCCTTTTATTTTGAGCCTATGTGTGTCTCTGCACGTGAGATGGGTTTCCTGAATACAGCACACTGATGGGTCTTGACTCTTTATCCAACTCGCCAGTCTGTGTCTTTTAATTGGAGCATTTAGTCCATTTACATTTAAAGTTAATAGTGTTATGTGTGAATTTAATCCTGTCATTATGATGTTAGCTGGTGATTTTGCTCGTTAGTTGATGCAGTTTCTTCCTAGTCTCGATGGTCTTTACATTTTGGCATGATTTTGCAGCGGCTGGTACCGGTTGTTCCTTTCCATGTTTAGCACTTCCTTCAGGAGCTCTTTTAGGGCAGGCCTGGTGGTGACAAAATCTCTCAGCATTTGCTTGTCTGTAAAGTATTTTATTTCTCCTTCACTTATGAAGCTTAGTTTGGCTGGATATGAAATTCTGGGTTGAAAATTCTTTTCTTTAAGAATGTTGAATATCGGCCCCCACTCTCTTCTGGCTTGTAGGGTTTCTGCCGAGAGATCCGCTGTTAGTCTGATGGGCTTCCCTT
The DNA here is from genome assembly GCF_000001405.40 of Homo sapiens. Lineage (NCBI taxonomy): Eukaryota > Metazoa > Chordata > Mammalia > Primates > Hominidae > Homo > Homo sapiens. The sequence goes on from NC_000003.12 coordinate 119,005,858, forward strand.
TGAGGGTAACCCGACCTTTCTCTCTGGCTGCCCTTAACACTTTTTCCTTCATTTCAACTTTGGTGAATCTGACAATTATGTGTCTTGGAGTTGTTCTTCTCGAGGAGTATCTTTGTGGCGTTCTCTGTATTTCCTGAATCTGAACGTTGGCCTGCCTTGCTAGATTGGGGAAGTTCTCCTGGATAATATCCTGCAGAGTGTTTTCCAACTTGGTTCCATTCTCCGCATCACTTTCAGGTACACCAATCAGACGTAGATTTGGTCTTTTCACATAGTCCCATATTTCTTGGAGGCTTTGCTCGTTTCTTTTTATTCTTTTTTCTCTAAACTTCCCTTCTCGCTTCTTTTCATTCATTTCATCTTCCATCGCTGATACCCTTTCTTCCAGTTGATCGCATCGGCTCCTGAGGCTTCTGCATTCTTCACGTAGTTCTCGAGCCTTGGTTTTCAGCTCCATCAGCTCCTTTAAGCACTTCTCTGTATTGGTTATTCTAGTTATACATTCTTCTAAATTTTTTTCAAAGTTTTCCACTTCTTTGCCTTTGGTTTGAATGTCCTCCCGTAGCTCAGAGTAATTTGATCGTCTGAAGCCTTCTTCTCTCAGCTCGTCAAAATCATTCTCCATCCAGCTTTGTTCCGTTGCTGCTGAGGAACTGCGCTCCTTTGGAGGAGGAGAGGCGCTCTGCATTTTAGAGTTTCCAGTTTTTCTGTTCTGTTTTTTCCCCATCTTTGTGGTTTTATCTACTTTTGGTCTTTGATGATGGTGATGTACAGATGGGTTTTCGGTGTGGATGTCCTTTCTGTTTGTTAGTTTTCCTTCTAACAGACAGGACCCTCAGCTGCAGGTCTGTTGGAATACCCTGCAGTGTGAGGTGTCACTGTGCCCCTGCTGGGGGGTGCCTCCCAGTTAGGCTGCTCGGGGTTCAGGGGTCAGGGACCCACTTGAGGAGGCAGTCTGCCCGTTCTCAGATCTCCAGCTGCGTGCTGGGAGAACCACTGCTCTCTTCAAAGCTGTCAGACAGGGACATTTAAGTGTGCAGAGGTTACTGCTGTCTTTTTGTTTGTCTGTGCCCTGCCCCCAGAGGTGGAGCCTACAGAGGCAGGCAGGCCTCCTTGAGCTGTGGTGGGCTCCACCCAGTTGGAGCTTCCCGGCTGCTTTGTTTACCTAAGCAAGCCTGGGCAATGGTGGGCGCCCCTCCCCCAGCCTCGCTGCCGCCTTGCAGTTTGATCTCAGACTGCTGTGCTAGCAATCAGCGAGACTCCGTGGGCGTAGGACCCTCCGAGCCAGGTGTGGGATATAGTCTCGTGGTGCGCCGTTTTTTAAGCCGGTCTGAAAAGCGCAATATTCGGGTGGGAGTGACCCGATTTTCCAGGTGCGTCCGTCACCCCTTTCTTTGACTCGGAAAGAGAACTCCCTGACCCCTTGCGCTTCCCAGGTGAGGCAATGCCTCGCCCTGCTTCGGCTCGCGCACGGTGCGCGCACTCACTGGCCTGCGCCCACTGTCTGGCACTCCCTAGTGAGATGAACCCGGTACCTCAGATGGAAATGCAGAAATCACCCGTCTTCTGCGTCGCTCACGCTGGGAGCTGTAGACCGGAGCTGTTCCTATTCGGCCATCTTGGCTCCTCCCCCAGATTCATTATTCTTAAACTGAACTCCTATCACACCCTTCCAACCTTTGGCAAACACCTCATTTTTTATCTTTATTAGACTAAATTGAAGGAATTCTCCCCCAACCATCTCAGAGTATCCACTTTTTCACCTATCCTTTCCCCTTCTCTCCAACACCACAGAAAGCAGGGTAAGCCCCATCCTTGCTTTAACCCATCTCCCAACCTCTACCAAGATCTTGTTTGCTCAATCATCCTACAACTCGACATTTCAAGTTTTCCCTTTTCTTTGGTCCCTTGCTTTATGCCTTCAAAAAAGCAAAGATCTTCTGATATTTTGAAGAATGTATCTTGATCATGCTTCCTCCTTTATCATATTTCTTTCCTTTTTCTAGTCAAGCTGCCTAAATATGTAGTTCACTTCCATTGCCTCCTCCTTCTTCCCTCAGAAAATATATGCTTCGGCTTCAAATCCTCTACTAAAATAGCCTTATCAAAGTTCCCTAATGTCCTCCTAATCATCGACTCAAAAGTGAAAGCAACTTCCATGTTAATCTACTCCATTCACTCCCCTCTACAGACAAGGAAGCTGAGACCTATGAGAGATTATTTTTACCAATATTATAGTGACTCTTGAGGGTTGAAATCTCAACAACCTTCCATCCAGAAGAATAGACTTTTCTTGGTTAAGAAATGAACAACAACAACAAAAAAAACGTAAATAAAAACTCCAGATTATTTCAGAAATCTCCACAAAAGAAAAAGCCACATTTGTCTAAAATAGAAGTCAACGGGAATATACCAAGAGATCATCCAAAACCCATTCCAATTGTCTTTGGAATATGGCCTTCCTTGCACTTTTTGAATTCCAAAATCTCCAAACCAAATAATAAAGTTCCACTGTGGAAGCTTTTCAGGAAAGTCAATTTTTTCTCTACTCCTCTATCTGCCATGCACTATAGTACACAGTCTAAATCTGGATATTAAAAGATCCTGTACAGAAACCTAGGGAGTATTCAGAGAGGTAGAAAGAGAATCAGGGAAACAAGGAGGAGGAAGTTTTTAGGAGGAGGAAGCAATCAACAGTGCTAAAAGCTAATTTTTCACATCTTCTCCCCTATACACCTCCACAACATTTTTGGTGATTCTGAATAAGTCCACAGAGTGTTCCTGAATTAGGGTATAATCTCTTCTACAAAGAAACATGCCCATCACCTATGAGGGTTAATGTGCCAACTTGACTGGGCTATGAGGTACCCAGATATTTGGTCAAACATTATTCTGGGCATTTCTGTGAGGGTGTTTTTTAATGAGATTAACATTTAAGTCATTGGACTGAGTACAGCAGATTGTCTTCCATGTGCAGGTGGGCCCCATCCAATCAGGTGAAAGCCTGAAAAGAATGAAAGACTGACCTCCGAAAAGCAAGAGAGAATTCTCCTGCCAACTGCAACATCACTTCTTCCTGGTTCTATAAGCAGCTTCCAGCCTTCAGAGTCAAACTAGGATACTGCCTCTGCAGATACTGGACTTGCCAGCCTCCATATACACAGAAGCCTATTACTTGTAATAAATTTATTTATACATACATACACACACACATACACACACACAAATTTCTCTGGAGAATCTTAATACACCATCTGAGCATGAAAAAGTACACATTCTTTAGTCTATTTCCTTCAATGTTCACCCTTTCAGACTAAATTTTAGAGGCCAACTAATAATCTTAGAGTAAAACATTTGAAATTCTGTTACCCAAGCTTTCCCATCTTGCATAAAGCCCTTTGCAACATCCATGTTACCAAAAAAAAGAGCAAAATGAAGACCAAAAACAAAGAACCTATAAATAATTGATATGGTTTGGCTGTGTCTCCACCCAAATCTTACCTAGAATTGTAATCCCCACGTGTCAAGGGAGGGACCTGGTGGGAGGTGATTGGATCATGGGGGCAGTTTCCCCCATGCTGTTCTCATAGTGAGGGAGTTCTCATGAGATCTGATAGTTTTAAAGGTGGCAGTTTCCCCTGCATTCTCTCTCTCTCCTGCTGCTTTGTGAAGAAGGTACTTGCTTTTCCCTCACCTTCCACCATGACTATAAGTTTCCTGAGGCCTCCCAAGCAATGTGGAACTGTCAGTCAAATAAACCTTCTTTCTTTATAAATTACCCAGCCTCAGGTAGTATCTTAATAGCAGTGTGAGAACGAATACAATGATCAACAGGAATTAACAGATAAAAAGATTATTTTCCTTATCATTTCGCCTGATTATTTTGATTGTTAAGTAGTTGGGAAATTTCATAGGCTTTTTGCTTTATTTATTCCTGTTTTGTCATGCTACTTTCAACTACCATACAAATTGGGAAAAGGCAAGGTACTATAAGGAACGTAACATCTACCTTGACATCTACCTTGACATCTACCTTGAATTATACTATACCTAGATTACAGATTAAACAATTTAAAACATAAAATCATGTTTTATTTGCTAAGAGTAAGATATTTTGATATTTTGAATATGAATTTAATAAAATTAATAATCAGAATGAGTAGAAGCATAATAAACAAAAAAGGGAAAAGAGATGGAAAGACAGATGAAAAAAGTAGAGAAAGTCATGCAGAGAAGAGTCATCCTATTGGCCTCCTTCTGGGGCGCTGTGAAGTGTCAATTTGTTTTCCTTTCCGTCAGACTCCTATTGCAGAGCTGAGAAGATTCCCTGCAGGAACCACAGAGTATACCCATGGAACAGGACTCCTTCTGGCAAAGCAGTGTACATGAGGTTACTGAAATTCAGCTGGTATTCCCCAGCAACCTTCTCACTCCACTGTCTTGTTTAAAAGGAATAAAAAATAGAAATACCACAAGAAGGAGAAAAGTAGGAAAAGATGAGAGCGACGGTTAATTGTATGTGTCAACTTAACTAGAGTAAGGGATATCCGGAAAGTGGGTAAACATTATTTCTGGGTGTATCTCTGAGGGTGTTTCTGGAAGAGATTAGCATTTTAATTGGTAAGCTGAGTAAAGAAGATGGCTCTTCCTTATGTGAGTGGGCCATTTAGGGCCGAAATAAAAACAAAAGGCAGAGGAAGGGTGAATTAAACTCTCTTCTGTAGCTGGGACTTCCCTCTTTCTTGCCCTCAGACATAAACTCCCAATTCTCAATCCTCCAGGCCCACTGGACTGGAGCTACACTACTCACTTTCTTGGGCCTCCAACTGACCAACAGTAGATCATGGGACTCTCAACTTCCAATGCTGTGTAAGCCAATCCCTCATAATAAATCTCTTTCTACATATCTATATATATCTAATGGTTTCCTTTCTCTGGAGAACCATGAATGATATACCTTCCCAGGTTAGCAAACACCAAGGATGCTTCTCTAAATACCTGTGTACTCAAGAATGGCAGCCAAAACAGGACATCTGGCTCTCTTCAGTAAATGTAATTTTAGACTCAAGGAATCATACTAGTTAAAAATGAACTAAGAAGTCATTCAATTCATTCCTCCTACTTAGAAGTTACTGAGATAAAAAGCACTTGAAGAAAAAATCATTGCAGGTTTCATATGGAAGGATAAGCTTCTAACAAATTAATCCTTCCACAAATAACAACGTTGGACAACATATGAAAAACAATTACCTGAGGGCTCTGGCAAGTGACCAAAACCGGCCATGTTTGGGAGGGAAGTCTCAACTGTGGAAGTGACTGGCGTGGGGCAAATTTCAGGGTTTTGCAGCTTTTCCCTGAGGACCATGGTGATCGTGGTGCTGGGCAGCTAAGCTCCCATTAAAAAAATAAAACATCTAAATGGCCTGTAGAACCAACAGAAGGAACTCAGAAACCAGAGCCCCCGGATAGTGAGGGAAAACCATGGAAAAGAGAGACCAAGAGAAGGAGAACATCAAATTCTATATAAAAAGTCTGCCCAAGTTTTAGACCCCTGAAGCACATGTGCATGGGACAGACCAAAATTAGTATAATCTGTGAGAAGAGCCACCACCTACTGTGGCCACAGCATGTGGAGGCTGAAACTCCAGTAGAAAAATCTGCCATCCTTCTGTCAGAAGAAACCAGGGCCCAAGGCAACATAGGCTACCAGAGAGAGAAAGAGGAACCCTGGAAAGAAGAGGGCCACAGAAGGAGAACCCAAAATTTTATAGAAATACTATATAAGTATCTGGCTAACCAAGGAGCCATATATGTACAGGCCAGACTCAAGGCGGCCTGAAATTAGATCTGAGTCACCATCTATTGCAGGCATAACAGAGGCTGCAGCTTGAGTCTAACCATGTTAAATGCCTGCTTACAAAGGAAAATATTCAACATACTTTGGATCAAGATAACAGAAACCAGAATCTTACAACACAGCATTCAAAATGTTGAACATATAATCTAAAATTAATCCTCTAAAAAAAGGCTAAGAAAATCTGATTCATTCTCAAAGAAAAAGACAATCAACAGATGCTATATAGTGTTCTGTGTGTGTGTGTGTGTGTGTGTGTATACACACATATATATAGGTATATATTCTTTCCTCTAGCAATATAGTGTACACACACACAGAGAGAGAGAGAGAGCGTGAGTGCGAGAGCACTAGAAAGAATTACTGGTGGCAAGTTGAGGAATGGCGTTGCAAGGGTCCATTCCCAGGAAGCATAAGATAGAAAAGAAAAGTGAGACACAGGCAACTCAATATCCCAAAAAATACCCTTAAAGACAAGAGATTGCCAGAGATTCTTGGGGACCTCTGAGAAATATGGAGAAACTGGCAAACTATCAGTGATTAGTCTCTCAAGGCAAATTCAGGAGAAAAAAACTACAAAGGTCTGCTATTCTCAGAATTATTCATTATGGTATTTCCAAACCTTTCGTGAGCTTCCCAAATAAGTTCTAAACTATAATTTTACAGGTTTTAGTCAACATATTTGTAATTTATATACCAACCCTCCAAAAAAAGGTGGCTTAGTTTGTGCTCAGAGGTATACTGTTTAGTAAACTGAAACTAAATTTCCACTTTACCATGCAATCTAGATTTCTAAGATCTGGCTGGCTCATCAACACAAGAAGTAGAAAATGGATACAAATGGCTATAATTCGGTCTCAATACAACACCAGTAACCTCTCAGTTTTTCACATTTCTCATCTCTTAAATAAAACTCCCATCAACATTTTTTCCCTTCATACATTTCCCCCATCCACTTTTATTTTTGCTTTGAAACAGAAATTATAACAAGTGTTTTAAAGATCTATTGAAAATCCATCCCTTTTCTTAAATTTAATTTACTAGCACTTATGAGGAATCTCACATGATCTTTAACAACCACGACAGCCTCAACTGATCTCCTCCGGTCCACTTCCAATCCATCCTCCACACTGCTGCTAAAGTCAAATTGCTAAAAAAGCAAGTTTAAGCAAGTTATTCCTCTATTTAAAACCCTTGGAAGCCTTCCCACTGCTCAACGGATAAAGTCCAAATATCTGGTGCTTGCCTATCCTTCTGGCCCCATCTCCAGCCTCTGCTCCCCTTAAACCCTACCCTACTCTCCAGTCATGTAGAACTACTTGCGGCTCCCAGGCTATTTTATGCCTCTGTAACTCTGCTTACCCATTCTCTTTGCCCAGAAAGGCTAGCTCTCCCATGCCCTCTCCTTTCCCCATTACCTCCTTGCTTCCTGAACTTCTATGGAGTTCTATGAAGACTAATCACATCTTGGAGGATAAACAGAAGTTCAGCAAGTCCATCCTTCTAGGCTCACTTCTTCTGCCCCTCATCTTGCAAGACTTCCTTTGGTGATGGACTCAGACTGGTTTCTGCAATTTCCTCTTGGAACTTTGGAATAAAAGTGGTTCTATCAACATATTCATTTGTATAAAATGTGATTCCTCACAAAACTCACACTCCAATGAAAGGCAATCTGCATATACAAACCTCCTCACTTGTTTGGTTATTGCTTTTTTATGTCCCTGGATCCCTTTTTGGTCTCCTCAACTTAACTGTAACAAAGAGAAGTAATGTCTTCTAGTGGTGGCCGACACTTAGCTCCTAAATAAGTTTCCCAATGAATTTTGGTAATTGAAAACATAAGGCAAACAGTATCGATTCTTTTGACAATGTTTATTAGACATCGACTAATAAATGTGGGCCAGGCACTGTGGTAGATTCTGGCGACACAACAGGATACAAAAGAATTTATAGACACATATTCATTTATAAAAACAAAGAACTTTGTAACTTAACAACAAAAGATACGTTAGAGACCATGGAGTCCCATCCACCCATTTTACAGTGGACAACGTGTGTCTTGCCCAAATTCACTCATCTAGTTAATGGCAAAGATAAGATACAAGAGTTTTCTCATTCAATGTCTCTCTCTTTCCAACCTATTTTACCAGTCTGAAGGAATCTTGAGTAATAAGATTAAACACTACTTTTGGTTTCAGATACGATATACATCTCAAAGTTTAAAACAATATTAATCTATATGTGAAAAGAGGCTTGACACTACTTTTACAGAAAGAAAAGCAGCAACATAAAACAAATCTAAAGGGGATGAAATAACAGAAACCCAGCAGTGGAAGCTGAGCTTCATCTAAGTCAGCAGATGACATCTATTTGCACTCGTTAGCACTGCCTGGCATGTGCTACACCACCCCCTCGGGTAATTTACATTTTTTTAAAGCATGTATTTCTAAATTTAGGAAGTTAGGATAATCAGGGTGGAAAAGCCCATCTGTTTGACGTTCACTCCAGCTGCTGCAGATTCTGAAATGAAATTTGAGTATTTTCTTCTGTTACATCTTACCCAGTCTGGAATACAATGGCATGACAGAGGCATAAAAAGGTAGCTACAGGCAATGTATCCAATACATATTTTACTCTATCACACAACATCCCCATTGTACCTAAACAACCCTGCCACAATTACACAAGCACATATACTATTTATACATAGTGCATAAATATATCTGTGTACATTCATGGGACATACACATTTTTCTTGTGTAGTATTTTATTGAGATGGAAAGACAGAGACAGAAAGGCCCCAAGAAGAGATGATTTTTGACCCTAAAGAAGTTAAAATTAGTTTGAATAAGACAGAAAAAGTAACTGAAATATTGCTTAGTTTTATTATTTCACTCATGTTATTGGAAGGAGCATCAACATGGATTCTGGCCTAAACTTTGCCACTTACATGCTGTGTGGTTTTAAAAAGATCACTTTACCTCTCTAGATTTTTTTATTAAATGACATGCAAGGATAGAAGCAGGAGGAAAGAGTTGAGTATAGAGGAGAACCCAGAAGACTGAAAGTATCTTCCAGATCTACAATTCCAGGGCTGTATGACAGCTACATAAAATTTCACAAGGAAGCCACTGTAAGCGGAAGAAATCTTCACCTTCTGGCTTGGAATTATCAACATTAAACCTTCAGAAGCAAATCAGTAAATACCTATACACCTTTTTATGTATCTAAAAAGTGTATGAGTCATATACAGTATGCTAAATGTCTTTTTAGCAGTACTAAAACAACTTGGAAGTATTTTTAAAATAAACAGTTCAAACAGAACAATTTTACTTTTCTGAAGTATACAAATAAGAGACAGACATTATCTAGGATGATGTTTATTACTGCAAACAAACATCACATGTAATTGTTGATAAAGCCCCCAAAACGGAAGTATAAAACTATCTCCGGAAATAAGCATTTGCTGGGTCCACACATCTTTCCTAAATACCTTCCCTCTGTAAGGCACTGTGGTATAGGAAACATTGGCCAATGATTGTTTCAGACAAAATTATTAAAGTTTCGTTACTGCTCTTAGCATTTATTTAGAAATGAAAACAATGCTTGTGCAAGATCTACCTTATTTAACGCAATTAACTGCAGGGGTGTCAGAGACAGAGACCCTCCAACCCACTACAACCCTGTCACTTCACTAAGGAATCCGTTATAAACCTGGAGGACACGAACTAAACTGAAAGGTTATAAAAGCTTTAAAAGGTATATTTACCACGACTTAAGGACACCTAAGTACCTAACATAATATTTTTTCTGTATCATGCTATTCTTCACATGCCTCTATTTTAGAGGTAAGTAAACATTTTAAGAGGCAGGAACTTGAGAAAAAACAATTTAGTACTATCTCATTTTTTGCTGCCTTAGATGTTGTTACAAATGTCTTTAGTCTATTTTTGCCTCTGCTATATCTTCAGTACCTAGAACATAGCCTAACACAAAGCAGGCACTAGATAAATATTTACCAAATATGAATAAATGCTAAAAAAAAAAAAACTGTTTTATAATGTTAAGAGCTGGGGGAAAGGAAAAGTTAGAAACTCCTATTCACTAAGCACCTGGTGCCTGACGTCCATCACTTCATCTAGTCTAGCCACTTGGTGCGGGTAGGCATTACCTGTCCCACTTTCCATGAGAGAAAAACGATTCAAAGGTTAAACAATACTCTGACCAACCAGAAGAAAACATGAACCATCTAGTCTAACCACTGAATGGGGGTGCAGGTGCAAAACTCATCTGAAAGAGTGAGGGAGGACATAAAGAGAAAGCCAGTCTGAGTAGACCAGGCAGAAAGGCTGAGCTAGGAAGGTTAGGGATTGAGTAAGAGGCAGCATGGGAAAAGAACAGCCACAAACACAAAGGTGTAACTGGCTGGGCCAGAGCCAGGAAGGAGGCACAAAGGGTGTCACACTGGGCTGTGGGGCACAGAAAAGAAGGGAGAGAGGTGTGGCAGCCCCCAGGAGCGAGGCTGTAAGGGTCCTGGGAGCTGGGAAGCTGGGGAAGCCAGGTGGCATATGGCATGTGTTCAAAGGTTCTCAAAGTAAAAACTGCCCAGAAATATGTCGATTCCAGCAAATAACAGCATGAACATGAATGACAAAGATGATGGTCATTTATGGTAATTTATTATTCATGCTGTCATTCCTAATTCTTTTAAAAAAAATCTTTAGAAATCTAAGAGGAAAAGCCAATTTTCACCAGAAGGAAGAGAACATTGTAAATATAGGATTATTGACTATGCAAGAAAATATTTAGAATGCTGAAGCAAATAGTTCAATGTGTACAGATTATATGCATAACAGAGCTTCAAATGAGTTACCATAGCTACCAAAGGATAATTAATTTTGAGGAAACAAAAGAAAAGACATATCATTAGGGGCAGTTTTCAAAGAGCTGAAATGATAAACGTGGCATCCAAATTTAACCCACGTTACTTCCTAACAGGAACTAGCAACGCTCCTTTCCACACGACTATTTCTAACATTATCTCCCACCCTCCTCCCTCCCCAGTCTTGTGTACCAGGCCACCTCTGTGCTAGTCTAAATCCCACTCAGATCCTGCAAGACTCACTTATAGTTCCTACCTGTTCCATAAAGTGTCTGACTCTGGTTGTACTTCTAACCTGACAATACAATTATCATGTATTGTTTATGAAATAAACATGTATTAAGCACTGGCTAAGAAAGGAAGAAGATTAAACAAATAGATAAGTACATAAATTACAGTAAACAGATATGGGCTAAAGCATGAGCAAAGTTAAATGGACGCAGGACAAAAAAAAAAAAAAAAAAGCCAACTATGGGGCCAACTTCACTTGGGAGGTGATATCCAAGCTGGGTACTAAAGCATAAGCATTATTTTCCAAGCCCAGAAAAAAGAAGAGTAAGCGAAATTGGAAGGTGAAATACAGTCACGTTTCACTTAATGACAGGGATACCTTCTGAGAAATGTATCATTGGTGATTTCATCATTGTGTGAACATCATTGAGTGTACTTACACAAAACTAGATGGTATACAGCCTACTACACATCTGAACTATATGGTGGAGCATCTACACTACAAACCTGTAGAGCATATCACTGTACTGAATAGAGTAGGCAATTATAACATGATGGTAAATATGTGTATCTAAACATATTTAACACAGAAAAGGTACAGAGAATATACGGTGTTATAATCTTATAGGACCACAGTCATTGTATGTGTGGTCCATTGTTAACCAAAACATCATCATGCAGCTCCCAACTGTAACTGTATTTTCCTCTTCTCTGTTTCTTAAACCAGGAAGATGAGTTTTGGAAACCAAAGGAATTGAGCCATGTGATCTTATTTAATCTTTCTGATCATTTTTCTTGTTTATAAAATGAAAACAATGCCAGGTTGTGGTAAAAATTAATTATATGATGCACACTGAAAGACTAGTTAGGCATTCAAAATTTTTTTTTCCCTTTTCTCCTCTAAAATTATAAACTCAGTGGAGGCAAGAACTGAGTTTTTTGTTTGTTTTACTTTTTTTTTTTTTTTTTTTTTTTGAGACAGAGTTTCACTCTTGTTGCCCAGGCTGGAGTGCAATGGTGTGATCTCGGCTCACTGCAACCTCTGCCTCCTGGGTTCAGGCGGTTCTCCTGCCTCAGCCTCCCTAGTACCTGGGATTACAGGTATGCGCCACCATGCCCAACTAATTTTGTATTTTTAGTAGAGATGGGGTTTCTCCATGTTGGTAAGAACTGAGTTTTATACCTCTTTCCTATCACCTACACTGTCTAACCCAAGAGTCGAGCACAATTTCTTATTGACTGGTAATCTCTAAAACAGGATTTTTAATAATTCCCCTTTGAATTTGATAACACATTTATTTGATACAAATTAAAATTGTAAACTCTCATAGCTAGTGCTTTATTACTCAATAGGCACACCAAACAAATAAATAAGGCATCAGCAAGGCAGAGATAGAGGTAAATGAGTGAGAAAGAGAGAGAAGTCCTCTTGAGGATAAAAAACTCAGAACTGTGTTACCTGCTCACCTATACTTTACAGTTTACTGTTTGGAGCTTCATAGTGCTTAAGTTTCTAATGTTTAGGGTTCTAAAGGTCTGTTATAAGATTTGCTCATAACTCCTATAAATGTTTCCCAAATTCTCTAGTTAGGCCCTAGAATGCAGACAAAATCACCACAAAGGTAAATACAGCTTATAAGAGAAAATGTAATCCACTTACTGATCACTTAAGCCTGACACAGTATTAGGCACTTTATTATTTTTACATGTTACATATTATGTTTACCTATTATCTTACTTAATATTCCAGGCTCTTAACTATAGGTACTGGAATTCATTCTGCTCTACAACTGAAACATCTATTTCTTCACTTGGAAATAGGACTAATACTCATCTATCTCACGGGCTTAATGATTAATGAATAAACATACATAAAATGTCTAGGCAATACATGGCACATGGTGGTTACCCAATAATGACAGCTATGCCCTTAATGAAAATTTGACATCCAGACTGGACACTTGTGACACTAAAAGAAGAAATGTGTGAGACTCAGAGAGGCATGCAGAAGTGCTGGCAGCAGCAGAACTGAAGCTCATCAGAGCTGGCACTGAAGGCTGGATGACTTGGCTTGCCATCCTTTGGCACATGTGCCCAGAAACTATTCAACTCCAGTGTTCCAAGCTGTTTAACCACATTCAGTTTACTGTGAGCACCTCAGTATCAGAAAAAGCCTGCCAAATCCAAGTATTTTTAAAAAGCACTTCAAGTGATGAAGCGAATAAAGAGGGTTTTCTTAAAAGAAAGTATCATTTATTGAGATTCAATAAACCATTGCAGTGCAGTTCTTGCAACTGCTTATATATTTGCTGCCCTGTTGGTATATCAGCTTAAGTTAAAAACTAGGACAGAGGTCAAAATTGGTGCATCTGGCCAGATAAGGATCCTTGATTCTGTGGGATTAGCCATACATCCACAGCAAATTTTATCAAAAGGACAGCAATAAGTACATTTACATTCCTTTGTTAATAAATAGGCATATGCAAAGAAACAGAGTCTATTTTCTCTCAAACTGATCTTATCTTACCACTTCTCACTCACACACACCCCCAACTCACTCCCATACTAGATGGGTGGCAGGGGTCAGGAAGATGATTAGATTGGACTGAATTTAGTTATTTCAGGCAGATCCAAGAATTTGCACAGCCTAAGAAACCTCTAGATTTCTCTTTTCAACAGCTCAGAGAAACTCTTGGTCTTTCAGATTTCTTTCCCCTTGTCCTGCTTTACTTCAAGACAGTATCTTCCTGCATGAAGGAGAGAGTGCTCAAATTACCCCCAGCCAGAGAAGGAAAGAGTTGCCCCTATAGCCACACCAAGTTCTCTGGTTTCTTTACCTGCCTCTGCTGGAGAATATCTTGACAGACTAGGCCAGACTGGTAACCAGTAAAATATAAATGCTCCTCCGTGAGGGTATTCTTTCCATTGTTGCTGTTATTGAACAGGAACAGTGGTGGGTGTGTGCAGGTTCCCACCCCTGTACTGTGACCCTGGCCATTTGTCTCTGATTGCTATAGACTGAATGTTTGTATACCCCACAAAATTCCTATGTTGAAACCTGAAACCCAAAGTGGTGATATCTGAAGGCAGAGTCTTTGGGAGATGATTAGGTCGTGATGGTGGAGCTCTCACAAATGAGATTTATGCCATTATAAAAGAAGCCCCAGGGAGCTCTTTGCCCCTTCCACCATGTGAGGACACCACAAGAAGATAGCTGTTCATATGCCAGGAAGCAAGCTCTTGCTAGACACTAAATCTGCAGGCTTAGACTCCCCAGCCTCTAAAACTGTGAGAAATAAATTTCTGTTGTTTATAAGCCACCTAGTCTATTGTATTGTGTTACTACGGCCCAAACAGAGGAAGATGCTGATCTTGAAATCCCTGCACAGACCTCTACATTATAACATAGGCCTCTATCAATCCCCTCACAAGGACACACAGACACTACTAGGTCTCTCATACACTTCAGGAAGTCCTGAGTAACCAGGAGCACTGCCTCAGACTCCACCTGTTTTCTGCCACTGCCTCGATGTCATCACTCTTACACACTCATGCACAGCTGCACAGCATACAGACTCCAAAGAACCACACTCCAAAGAACACATACTACCAGGGAAAATCAAATGGCTTGGTGAGAACAAGAATGAGAATTGAGCAGGAAATAACACTTCACTCACTCCACGAATGTAACACATTACACCATAATGAGCTAAGTTATGTTTGTCTTTTAGAGCAAATCATGTTAGTTTAGTCTAAACTTGAAGACTGGATCATACACATTTGTCATCCTTCTATCCTCAGACGCCTGAAGCATAATAAACCCTCAGTTGTTCCTTTTCTCCTTACAAACTATTGAATACATAAGAATCAAATGTGCCATGCCTCACTGGCTGGGATAAATACCAGGCAGGCAATACACAAGTTTATTAACTATCTGGCTATATCTTCCTCCACATGACATTTTAACTATGATATATCTATACTTCTGCTTCCCCACACAATCCTGACAGTAAGTATTCCACAATTACTTATTTTCTGATTCACATACATCTCCAAACTGTAACTACAGTTATAATTCCAACTGTAGTTATGTAAGTATAAAGTTACTTAAGACCAGATATCATATTGAACATCTCTTTATAACTCACAGTGGTGTATATAGCATAGGTTCTCAACAGTTTGTTAGAAAATGAAATAACATATTTTTAAAAGTTGACGAGACACTCTCCCTAGGGAAAAGAAAAATATCAAGGCATATGACACTGAATTTGGAATAAAATTTCTGTGACCTCCCAAAAACCATCTTTTGGCCACAGGTTAAAATCCCTTATACAATACAAATGTAGGCAGTGGTTATACGATGCAAAGGATTCAACAATGTAAAAAGTCATTTAAAACTAAAATGATTATTTTAAAACAAATTACTATATAATAGAAAAATTAGTATCATGAGATTAAAAAACTTAACCTCAACTCCAGATGATGAAGATTATGTTAATGAAGTAAAAGGATATGACAGTGATAAAGATGATGGTGACAACAGAGGAAGAGGAAAAAGACAACAAAAGGAGGAAAAAATAATGCTTATATAGCATTCATATATAGAATTCTGTTTGGGACCATATGTGTCTTTTGGGAGATGAGTCTTCATGACTTATTTATTAATAAGAGTTTATTGATCACTCACCATATGTAGGCACTGTACTAGACTCTATAGGTAAAACAAAGTGTAAGACCATAACAAAGTGTAAGACCACATCTTATCTACCTAAAAAGGCTAAAAATAAATAAGCCAGCCATCACAAAAAAATAAATTTTTGTCCTTACCCCCGACTCTCATTGCACACAAGACAATGAATTCTAGATGGGCTGTAGGTTGAAATATGAAAGGTAAAACAGTATAGCTTACAGAAGATACCAGGAAATATCTTTATGACATTGAGAAAGGCAAAAAATTTATAGTCAAGACACAAAAAATGCTAGTAAAAGAGAAAAAAATTGCTTAAATGAATCAATTAAGAACTTCTGTTCTTTAAAAGACATCAAAGTGAGAAAGTAAAAAAGCAAGTCATAGAGTAAGAGATTTTACAACACATATAAACAATAATGTGCCAGTACTTCCACAAACATGTTTTTTAAACCCACTGAAACCAAGGGAGTGGGAGGGGACATGGACTCCTTAATTTTAAAAACTGGCAAGAAGCCCAAGTATCCGTCAACAGAGGAGCATATAAAATGTGGTATACTCATACAATGAAAAATTATTCAGCAATAAAAAGAAATGAAGTTCTGGTATATGCTACAACATGAATGAACCTTGAAAAAACATTATGCTAAGTGAAATAAGCCAGACACAAAGGATAAATTTTGTATAATTCTACTTATATGAGGTATCTGGAATAGGTAAATTTATAGAGATAAGAAGTAGATTAGAGGTTACCAGGGGTTAAGTGGAAACGGGGAGGTATTGCCTAATAGTTATAGATTTTGTTTAGGGTAATGTAAAAGTGTTGGAAATAGCGGTGATAGCTGCACAACACTGTGAATGTACTTAATGCCACCAAATCATATACTTAAAATGGTTAAAATGGTAAATGTTATGTTATATATATTTTACCACAATTTTTAAAATAATGTAAAATACCAAAAATGATTGGACTGTATACTTTAAACGGGTGAACCATATGGTTTGTGAATTATATCTCAATAAAGTTGTTTTAAGAACTGGCAAATGACTTGAATAGAAAATTTGTAAAAGACAATACCTAAATGCTAGTAAAAAGGGGAAAAGGTGCGTAACCTCATTAGTAATCAGGGAAGTACAAAACACCTACATACATACACACACAGACACAATGAGATGCCATTATGCACCTATCAGAATGGCTGAAGTAATAAAATAGATTGACAATACCTAGTGTTCACTGACAAGGATGTAAAGGAAATGAAACTCTCATACACTGCTAGTGGGAGAAAGATCAGCACAGCCACTTCAGAAAATGGGCCATACCTACTAAAGTTAAATATATGCAATTTGTTTCATAGGGATATACCCAACAGAAATGCATTCTGATATGCATCAAAAGACACACACAAGAACATTTGCAGCAGCATTATTCATTGTAGGCCAAAACTAGAAAAAAAAAAATGTCTTTGGCTGAGCACGGTGGCTCATGCCTGTAACCCCCGCACTTTGGGAGGTTGAGGCAGGAGGATCACCTGATGTCAGGAGTATGAGACCAGCCTGGCCAACATGGCGAAACCCTGTCTCTACTAAAAATACATAAATCAGCCAGGCGTTGTGGCTGATGCCTGTAATCCCAGCTACTCGGAAGGCTGAGGCAAGGAGAATTGCTTGAATCTGGGAGGCGGAGGTTGCAGTGAGCCAAGATCGCACCACTGCACTCCAGCCTGGGCGACAGAGCGAGACTCCGTCTCAAAAAAAAAAAAAAAAAAAAAAAAAAAAAAAATGTGGTGAGGAAAGAAAGGATAGTAAGAAGATCACGAAGATGAAATAACTCCAAAAATTCAATGCTTTTCAAGATGTTAAAAAAAATAACTATTTTTGCCTACAAATGGACTATGGGATCATGCACTTTTACAGCATAGTGCTGCTACAATTGACATAGTTCCTAAAGTCTGGACAATATCAGAAGCCTGAACCAGATACAAAATCAGCCTGCCAGAGATTTAAAAACACATATGCACATGTACGCACCCCCCACACCCAGTTTACACATATGTAAACTGCCACATATAAAATTAGATACATCTAAGTGCATTTGTCTAATTAACATACATGAAGTAGAAGAAAAAGTAAAGTTTTGTGAAGTTTAACCTAAACATGAACATGAATTAGTTCACTTGCCACAGTTGGGATAAATACAATGAAAAGGACTAGGAGAATGGACTTCACTACTCTCCACTCAAGTCGAAGAAAAAGCTAACATGCCGACCCCCACTATGTCAAGAGAATCTGAGCTGAGAACTCAAAAGGAAGTGCTGAAGACTGCAAATTATTTTTGTGTTCATGGTCTTCATCATCATCAGTTTATAGAATATTTGTTAGACACTGAAGGAGTAAGCAGATTTGATTTATTTTAATGCAGGCAGATGGCTTGGTCATGGAAATTGTGAAGAGATTTACCGAGCAGCTTCATCAGATCAAGGACATTATGGAATTAAAGGGCTCTAAGAGACCTTACTTGTCCAGCTCCCTGTAGCTCACAACATTATACTTTCTTATTAATGAGAAAGATAACTCCCTAAATTCAAAATAACTGTGGTGGGAGTAAGGGGTTGGGAGGATAAGAGCACAATTAATTTGTTCAAAGAAATGCAAATGTTAAGACCGAGAATGAATACACATATTAATCAACAAGCAACTAAAACTTGTCCTGTTCTGAGGACAACGAAATCACAAATTAGAAAGCATCAAAAGTCACAATTTCAGAAAATATTCTCACGAAAATGAATCATGTTTAAATTTCTTTTACTATTAATATGTTGGAATACAAAATTCAAGAACCATCTCTTATCGGTAGGTTGTTTCAGGAAAAATTTAATGACCTGAAAACAGATTCTACTTACCAAGATAAAATACTAGGCAGTGAGTTTATGAATCTCAGAATTATTTAAGTTTTGTCAATGTAACTAATTCTATCCATTTTAGAGACCACCTGGCTTTGTGCAAAAACAACCTCTCTCTTGAAAATGCAAAAAAAGAACAGCTAGGCAACACTATTGATGATATAATCAACGATATAAAATCAAAATTAAGATGTGCCCTAACCATACTCCTCCATAGCTTTCAGTTTAAGTATCACTATATCCCTGCCTAAAACTTGCTTTTTTTTTAAGCTCACAAGCTTGTCCCTTTTAATCAATAATAACACTAGTAAAATGTCTATATTTATCACATAACCTAGTATAGTTAAAATTTAGACAACTATGCTTGGCTTAGACAAAGAAAGCTCATTATCAGAGAAAAGCAGAGAAAGATCATAAAAATCAAGTTAAAGGATTAGAATACAGTGATTGAGGTAAAAAGAAGATATTGTCATACTTACAGCCTGCTTTGAACTGACCCCTTCCTGACACATACAAGATTTGTCCGTGATACAAAGGATTGAAGAGAAAAAATAGGTATGTACACAGCCTAAGTCAAAGTAAGTAGCAATCAATTTTAAAATAAATTTTAAAAATAAGACTATATTCGAATGACATTTTGTAATCTTTCTACAACAGATGGAGATAGTTTTAATTCTGAGGATAGAAATTACTATAACATTTTATTATATTGGGAGGGGGAGAGAGAGAGGAAAGTCAAGTAACTATTTTAGGAAAAGTTTTACAAACATGTTAAAACCAGCCACATAATTTCTCCACTTTATCTTACTACGAATATTTTCAATACTGGAAACCATGTCAAAGAATCACAAGATTATAGAACTGGAAAAGAACAAGAGATTACCTAGTCTAATTCCCTCATTTTGCAAATGAAAGCAGGCCTGGAGAATTACATGATATGCCCTAGGCCACAGCTCCAGTGGCACACCCTAAATAGACTCATCTCCTGACTTAAAAATTGGGACTGATCAATCCTTGTAACAGTAACTGCCACTAACTGAGCACTTGCTGTATGTCAGGCACTATGCTAGACACTTTACAGATAACAGTTTTCATTTAATTTAGTACTTCTCAACACAGTAAGAAGGCCATCTCCATTTCACAAGAAAAACTCAAGCTCAGGACATTAAATAACATTCTCAAAGTCATAGGACAAAGAAATGATGAGTCATAATTTAAAGCCAGTATGTTTGACTATACAAAGCCCATGAACTCTGACATGGGCTTTGTATAGTCAGACATACTGGGTTTGAATTACGACAATGCTTTTTTTCTCTCCCCGGATGTTAAATGTGTACATCCAAACAATTGCACTTTGGGCAAGCTAGACCACAGAAATATCTATACAAATGTATAGGGTATATGTACAAAGATGATCACTAAAACATTATGAATATCAAAAAATCAGAGAAAACACAAATGTGCATAATGGAGAAACAGCTAAAAATTATGGCATACTTGCTATGAAATACTAAACTTCCATTAAAAAGAATGAGGTAGATCCATGTAACAGATGTGGTAAGATGCCTATATTAGGCTGGGCATGGTGGCTCATGCCTGTAATCCCAGCACTTTGGGAGGCCGAGGTGGGCGGATCACAAGGTCAGGAGTTCGAGACCAGCCTGACCAACATGGTGAAACCCCGTCTCTACTAAAAATACAAAAATTCTTCTTAAAAATCTTCTTAAATACTTCTTCATTGAGTTTTTACCCTAGAATATGTTACTTTTAGATGTTTTTAAATTATAATACAAAATAAAGAATTTCAAATGAGTTCATTTTTTATTTTAAAATAACACATGTATATTCCATTTAATGCCACCCCATATAGCACAGATTTATTGTCTGGCTAGTTGTCTCTACAGCAATTTCAAAAAAAAGAGAATCTAACATTCTATTACGGATACCAGCATTTCAAGTACAGTCCATGGACTGATGCAGATTCCCAAGACCCTTTCGGAAAGTCTATGTAGTAAAAACTACTTTTCTTACTAACAGTAGAGTTTTATGCCTTTTTCCCTGGGTTAACATGTGCATTGATGGTACAAAAGCAGTAGTGGGTGAAACTGTTGGCACCTTAACACAGGTCAAGGCTTTGACATTAAGACTGTACTAGTAGTCACTGTAGTCTTCGCCATTATGTAGTCACAGTTAAAAAAAAAATCCAGTTTCATTAAAGAATGTCTTTGATGAAGCAATAACAATAATTTCATTAAATCTTGACCTTTTGTAATATTCTGTGTGACAAAATGGGTAGTATAAAACCACTTATGCTGCATACTGAAGCAAAATGGTCATCCCAAAGTAAGGCATTGGTGCAATTATTTGAGCTCAAGGCTGAAGGAACTAATCACTTTCCTTCATATCTACTTGAATGAACAACTCACAGACTATGGTTATTCAAACTTATATATTTAGCAGACATTTTCTCAAAACTGTACAAAATGAGATCATCACTTCAAGTGAAATAACTGACAGTCATTTGCGGCCAATGATAAAATTCAAGCAATATCAAAATTTTGGAAAACTTGTATCTGACATTGTGAGCTTAGCAGCTTCATAATACTTAAAAGACTGTTCTGATCATCTCAGTGGTCATATTGATAAACATAATTTTTAAATTTATATAATGTAATACAGTAACATTTGTAAGATCTGTGTAACAAAGAGAACCAGTATTTTCCAATGATCAATGCATAGATTTATGAAAACTCATGCATGAGTAAAAGATCCACTCAAAGTACAAGATAAACCAGTGGATTTTAATATAACAAGTAGGAAATGTTCACTGATATGGTTTCTGGTTCCACATTTCAGCCAGTCTTTAAGAAACTACTGCATATCATGTTTTGGTAGAATACCAAAGATGAATATCCAAAATTATCTGAAAATGCTGTCAAAATACTATATATCAGTGTGAGACCAGATATTCTTCACATTTTACACCAAACCAAGATGGGATATCACAATAAATGAGATGCGAAAGCAGACAGGAGAAAGCAGACAGGAGACTGGCTTCTAATAAGCCAGACATTAAAGAAGGTCCCAAAAATGTGAAAGTGCCACTTCTCTCACTAATATTATTCAGCTTTGGGGAAAAAATATGTTACTTGTCATAAAAACATTTATGTCAATGTGTAATGGATGCTTTGTTTCTAAACAGATTAATAGATTCTTTTAAATTTTCTCACTTTTAATTTCTAATACAGTATCAATAGACATAAACCACATAAACTAAAGCTCTTTGCAGTCCTCAATAATCTTTAAAGCCCCAATAATCTTTAAGGCCAGGAAGTTTAAGAATCTTTGCAGTACACTGTTAACCAATTTTTCACATGCCCTGCATACTGTCAAGTCTTGATCAACAAGGCTATCTATATTTACACATGGGCAATATACATAAGTGAACTGTACCAATAAATAAGTACATAAGTGTACTTAACCAATAAAAGCCTAAAATGTTAGTCTGATTTGAATATGTCCTGCAAGAAGTGATGCTTACTACAGTACTGCAGCCTCTGTTTTTGCCATGTATTCTGTGTTCTGGCTAATGATCTTGACCCATGGGAGCTAACAGAAGTTGTATACCTGATAGTCATGAACCTGGCCCAAAGAAAAAAAAGACTAAGTATTAAGCCTTGATGTTTGATGTTATTTAAGCCATCTTTAAGCATATAGTGGAGGATTTATGATTAGTAAATGACTTTTGATATTTTGAGAGATGTATAAATACTGCAGACTGAGAGTGTGGTCCATAAGGGTATAAATCATGGCTGGGATAAACTATGAATGGAAATACATAGACTTCAGGAGGAGAGAAGGGAATAGGAGAAGCAGACAACTGCCAGTCTTGCCAAACTCCCCCAACATAAGGATGATTTATAGTTAATGCTCCTATTTCTAGAAAAGTGTCTCCAGTACTTTGTATATAGTAATGTAGGGAAAAAGAGGGAGGCCTCAGGCTACAAAAGATGTTATTTTAAGTAATTATCTCTCTTCTTGGGAGACTAGTTCTAACATACAGGTCCCTCAGGACTAAGAATACCAGACATGAAAATGGTAAACTTCAAGGTTCTACAGAAATTGCCAAAAGTCCAAGATCATTCCTTACAACATGAAGCAAAGGCTTCAGAATTCCTTAGGAAAAAATATTTCAAATATTTAGGATTAAACATAAGCTAAAAATCAATTTCAAAAGATCTGTAAGGATTAAAATTTTGAATAAACTTCCACAGAAGTTATAAAATTTGAAAAAAAAACTATGAAAATTGATCTCTATCACCTGTTCCACAAAATATTTACCAAGGTGTAAAGATTAGTTGAAGCTGACATAGTCACACCAAATCCCTAAAGAAATTTTTAACAAAAATTTTATTTTTCTTTAAAAAAGAAAATGCACTTAAAGCTAGAGAAATCTGAATAAGCTCTGTGGATTGTACCAACACCAATTTCCTGGTTTTTATTTTGTATTCTGGTTTTTGGGGATGGTAACGTCAGGGGAGGCTGAGTGAAGGGTGTGCATGGGACCACTCTGTACATTTCTTTACAACCTCCCATGAATCTATATTTCAAAATAAAAAGTTTAAAATATGAAAAAAAAAGAAAACAACAGTCTTCTCAGGTGTACCACCTATATTAGTAAACCTTCATTCACAAGTATCTACTGAGCATTACTATAGTGCCCAGCATGGTAGACATGGTACTGCCTTTTGGGGATAATACACACACACACACACACACACACACACACACACACGGTAGACATGGTACTGCCTTTTGGGAATACACACACACACACACACACACACACACACACACACACCCGAGAGAGAGAGAGAATGCGAGAGAGAGAGCGGGCAAGCACAGGAGGAGAAAGGGAATTTTATTATACAGTTAACTTCATTAAACAAGGGGAAAATATTAGCATATAACTATGCCCACACTCCCACATACCCCACCAATGCTCAGCTTCTATGGTGATTTCTGTGTCTGCCTGGTTGGCTCCAGGGTTAATTTTTTGTAAATATCAATCCTTGAAATGGGTAGAGCTGAATAACTGGAAAGAACCAGGACTGGATTTATTACCTTTGAAGAACCTGATGTTACTAGCAGAGGAACGTAACATCTTCCAAAGTGGAACGAGAGGACGACAAGTAAAAAGAAAAAAGAATCATTAAGGGGAATACAGAAGAGAGTGGTTTTATGAGTGTGACTGCTGTGAACAGTGAAACTTTGGGCAAAAGTGAGTATAGGGGTTCTCTAAATTAGGACACTGTTCTGTTTCCATTGTTGGGATCTTCAATAGACTTTGGTAAATATTTAAACTTAAATTTCTAAAAATATTGAACTGATGATTCTTTTAAGACCAGCCTACAAGTGGCCCCAATATATTAGAGTTACATTCACAAAGTCATATTGTATTATTACATATTTGTTACCCTCAGTGAAAAAATGGCATTGACTTTCCAATCCCACAAATCTATTACACTTTAACCACCTATTCCAACCCTAAACCCTGGTACACTACCATTAGTGGCTGCTAACGTTGACCTAATTCTCTGAACATCTTCCCAAGGAACTCTACATGGTATAAGAATTTTCTGAACTCGGTCCTTCTAGGATCTCAGCTTCTTTCCAGGAATCCTTTTCTAAATATAAGTGTCCTCTAATACTGTCAGCTTATATCTCTCTCAAGATCAACAGAGTTAACTGCTAAATGAAAACAAACCAGTAAGTAGACTTTTTCAAGTAACTTTTTATTGAATACACTTTGTCCACAACAGTAAATTTGTATGGGTTTCATCCTATACTCTAAATAAAAATTTTAGTTATACTTATCAAAATATGATTCTTTCTGTAATATATGAGTGAGGCAGACCCATACTGTACCTATATAATATCTGATAAAGGCAATGATGATGCGGTAGATCATTGGCTGAGTCTATTATTTGCAAATTGGAAACCAATTTTCTCTCTGTGGCTTACTTCATATTTCTGCAATTTAAAACCATTACAAATGCAAACTACTACTGTGGTCTTTTTCTTGGGTGGCAGAAAACCAGGTACACAGAAAATTAATTACCCAAATGTTAACAGAAAGAAAAAAAATCCTTCCATGGTTTAGTAAGATAGGCTTAACTAATAAGTAAACTAATTAACTTTCCACTTTTAAGACCAAACTCAGCTCAAATCAGATGGCTTTTTGAATACCACCCAAGAACCAACAACCTCTCTTAAGCCAGTTGCTCACAAAGTATGGTCAAGAGAAGATTTCAGATCCTCCAGATGGTGTGGGGGCAGTTTTCAAAATGCAGGGATGAGATGTGTTAGTGCCAGCTAGCCCTCACCAAACAAAGAAAGTTGAGATGACTGTGTTCACTTGAAGTAAATTAGAAAACAGAAATTCAGCAAACCCTCCCCAAACTGCCTAAAATAATTCAGTGTTGAGAGAGTATAAAAAATTGTCATTAGTCTAGATAACAATAGATGTGGAATCCCTATTCTAAATAAACTAGTTATGGGGCCAGGCACGGTGGCTCAGGCCTGTAATCCCAGCACTTTGGGAGACTGGGGTGAGCAAATCACTTGAGGTCAGGAGTTTGAGACCAGCCTGGCCAACGTGGTGAAACCCCGTCTCTACTAAAAATACAAAAATTAGCCAAGTGTGGTGGTATGCGCCTGTAATCCTGGCTACTCGGGAGGCTGAGGCAGGAGAACTGCTAGAACCCAGGAGTCGGGGATTGCAGTGAGCCAAGATGGCGCCACTGCACTCCAGCCTGGACAACAAAAGCCAGACTCCATCTCAAATAAATAAATAAATAAACAAACTAACTAAGTAGTTATGGATGAAAAGTTTTAGTGGGAAGGCCAGAATTTTCTGAACTTTCTCCCAACTCAGTAAGTACTGCCTGTCCCTTGCTTTGTATTACTCACTGCAACTAAAGAATCTTTTGCACCAGCACATCACCTTGTTTGACACTAAATCACATGGCATAAGTATGAAGACTCAAATGAGAATTTTCATTATAAATCTCTCCACTATGAAAGTGTGAAAACACATTTCAAAATCTGCCACATACTGTCACCTGGGGAGGGGAAGCCAAAACAAGTACTTTTACCCCTTGCATCATTACCTTGTGTCTGACAACAGTTCTAAGCATAACGCTTTTTAAGTGCTTGGTAATTTAATATTTAAATTGCTTCCTGAATAGTCCATGTTGAATATATATGTGTATTAGGCTTAGTATCTCTGAAATTTTCATCCCGTAGCTGTCATCTTTCATGTAGGTCAAACTACAGATTTTTACTAACAGGTGAATCCTTCTAAAACAATTACAGTATGAAATTTAGAGCTGATAAATTGGATTTTACAATAAATTTTTAATAATGGTAACACTGAAAAGGTTCATGACTTTTTTCATTTTCATTGCATTTTATGTGGTCATTTCTTTCTTTTTATACATTTTCTCAAATTCTGAAAAGTTATCTGCTATTTCAAGGAATCACAAGTATGAGAAACACTTTAGTTATATCTAACCCATTAGAAGAACTATATAGAAGTCAGCTTTTCAATTCAAATTCCCTTTGAAGTTACTTCACAAATAAAAACAAAATAACAATAAGAAAACAGAATAAACAGAAATAGAAACAGAAATTTATTAACATCGATTTTCTTTCATTTATTGAAAAGACCCTCTATTTCTACCTTTGGTGTATCATTTCATTGTAGTGGCCACTGCTATTGGTTATTTACCTAGCATCCATTTCCCTTTACCCCTTTGTAATGGAACCAGCTTTGTTCAGATATACACCCCTCCTGCTATTCCACATTGAAAATTCTGGGGATGAGCCATAATTCATTCAAACCAAGTTTGCCCTTGACTAGTTCAAGAATTAAATTCGGTTAGGGCAAGGTATTCTCCTGGAGACAGGTATGCTAGCACAAACAGGCGTGCTAACTGTTCATCCTCTTCCCCGCCCCACAGTAAGGAAACTGAACATCAGTACTTTTTCCATGGCCAGCCGAATAAAGCCCAAACGCAGCATTCAAGATTCTCTACTATCTTGCCCCCAACTACTTTTTGGCTCTTTCTCCCTTGCACACATCTCCTGCTCTAGCAGCTTGGCCTTTCAAGAGTATACCCCTGCCTGTTCCACTTTACATCCTTCCTTCAGGCTGTTCCTTTGGTTAAGAAAGCCCATCCACTCCCATCTGAGCCAATTCATACCCTATTCATTCAATGTCCAGATAAAAAGTAAACTTTTCCAAGAAGTCTTACTTGATACTTACATTAACAAATAGAACTCATCATACATTCCCTGTACCATAAATTATTTGTGCATGCTTACAGCCTGTTTTAAAAATGCAAACTCCTTACGGGCTGCAGACACTCACACGCGTCTTTGTATTCCACCACCACCTTTCCCCACCAGATACTCAAAAGCACAGAGTGATGGCTCTGTAAATATCTGTTGAACAATGAACACTGTTTTTGAAAGTGGAAAATGCCTCTACATAACAGGTTATTGCCAAAACTGAGAAGTCCTTGGAAGTCTTTAAAAACATTTTTCTATGGCTTGGGAATAGTTTTGCTGAAGAAAAAAGAACAAATCAGATGACCTTGCAAGGCTGAGTCTGCGAATTGTATCAACTCTTTTAAAGTACTGCCTAATAATTCAAAAACAAACTATACACAAATGCTATTTACAAAAAGAGGAGCATTTATTATAATATACAACTTTAATAATAGAATGTTCTACCAAAAATTTGAGCTGTTCTTGTAATATTGGTAATATTTAGAGCTGTGTCCAAGGATTGCATAAAAAGCCGATTTACTCTCTTATTTCACACTTAAAAGTAGTAGGACAGAGAGAAAAACTGGCCATCTCAAACTAGTAACAGTACAAGATACTTGGAAGCACAAGTTCATAACATGGACATATTGATGTTATTGTGTGCACATCATCACTAAAAATATACCTACTGAACTCTAGAAAAGTTAATTTTGATGATAACAGCTTCATTAGTTTCTACGGAGAAGACATACAAAAAGTTTTCGTATTCTCTTCTCCCCTATTCAATGAATCTGCACAAGTTAAGTTGGCTAGTATTAGGTTACTTCAAAATCAGTTCGAATAAGGCCATGAAATGACTGGAAACATGCTGGTGTCTCCAGAAAAAAAACAGGGTTAACCACAAAGTTCCAAAATCACTGAACCCGCTTTTTAAATAACATCCTTCAGAAAAAAAATCTCAGTAAATCTCAGCAATAAATGGGACAGAAAACTGGATTCCACAGGAGAATGCACACACAAAAACAAACAGCACTGCATAGGATGAAAATCAGGATCTAAATTAATATGATGGCTATTCACCGAAAATGTAAGAAAGATTAAGCAGAGATTAAAAGCTAAATTTATAAACAGATGTTTTAAAAACCGTTAACAAGAAATTTAAAGACATTTATTTATTTTGTTCTAATATTGTTATATTCTATGTATTGTTGAGAGCCAACTTAAGTCCTTTGGAGATGAAGCTAGAGTGTAAATAAATTCTTGTTTTCGATTGTAGTATAGCACAGTATACAATTAGTTTTAAAATAAAGATCATTTTCGGCCAAAACGTGTATAGGCTTCTAAAAGGTTACGTTAAAGCTATAAAGTTTTCCAAATGATTTTAAAAGCACTTCTAGTTTTCCTAGGGCCGCCTAGTAAAGACAACTGGTTCTAAATACAGTTTCTAACTGGACCAGTGAGTAAGGGAGTTCGTTATCTAAAAAGGATCCTGCATTCCGCAGAGCGCAGCGAGGTGAGAGTCAGGGCCCGGCCTGGGACCGGAGGTAGCCGGACGAGTTTAGTTACCTCTCTGACAAGGAACACCTGGGCTGCGCGGGCGGCAGAAGCAGCCGCTGCAGGTGCGCGCGAGCCTCGGCCGCAGCAACGAACGCCGCCCCTGAGAAAGTTGGACTCCCGACCCTCGGCAAAGCAAGGAGGCTCTTTGCCGTCCCCAAACAGCTTCGCCCCGGGCCCGCCGACCCGGCCTGGCCCCACCGGGAAGAAAGGGCTGGAGCTACTCACCGTGCAGAGAGAGGAGCAGCAAAGGCGCCAGAGGGGAACGCTGAGAAGTCATCCCGGGGCCGCAGGGAGCGCGCCTGCCTCCTACCCGGCTCCCGGTCGCAACAGGAGAGGAGCGGGCGTGAGTCTCCGCGCTCTTGGGGCAGCCTGGTCCTCCCACACCCAGCGCCGGGCCGCTGTTCCCCGCGCAGAGCTGGGACTGTCAGACCCACAGACGAGCCAAGTGCAGCTGCAGCGCCGCCCGGCTCCGCGGACGCTGAGCTGTGACCAGAGGCGTTCCGGGCTCGCCAGCCGTGCCACCCAGCCCTGCCCCAGGACTAGCCGACCCCTCGCGCAGTCCGGGGAGCCACTCCCCCCAACTCACGCCCCGCTACTCCAGCCGCAGCTCGGCTCCTCGCCGCGCCGCCCACTCGCCCCGCTTGGTCTCCAGGGCAACCGCGGCTCCAGCGCGACGCCTGGCGGCCCACCCGCGGAGCAGAGCGCGGCGCGCAGCTGGCGCGGCCCCCGCCACCTGTGCACCGCGCCGCCCGCTCCCCCGCACGCCTCCACCAGCTCCGGGAACCGAGGGGTGGGCGCCCTCCTCGCCGGAGTTAGGGCCCCTCCCTTGGTCTAAACCCCTCCGCAAACAGGTGGTGTCGGCCTGATGCATCCTGGAGAGCTCTAGCAATGACTTTTCCACAGCCTTCCTCTGAGCCTGCAAGAGTCTTTCCTGTTGCAGTTTTCGGATAATTTATATTTGGCTTTTTCACTTTCAGTCCTCTCTTATAAAACCTAAATAATCTGAAAGAACCTGACTCTGGCAGAATTAGGAATTCCTAATTTTACAGTGTTTTGGTTTTGCGCTGTTTCCTGGATGCCTTTTCACCTTTCTTCCTTGAAAAGTGGATAGAGGCTGGACCATGCCCCTAACTCCCCATTCCTATCAGAGAGACTGCCATCTTCTCTTGCCCCTTTTGTAAACCTTATGTCAACTTCTAATATTTTAAGTTTTCCAGCTTAAACGTTAGTGCTTTCTTAAACTGACCTTAAGTATACATGTTAACTAGTGGGGTATGTACATTTATTGTAATCGTTGTTTAGTTGGGTTTTTTGTTTTTGCTTCTTGTTTGTTTGGGTTGGGTGGGGAGAAAGACTTTCCTAGCATCTGAAATTGTTTTACTTAAATATCTACCTACATCTTTTCTTGTAAAACCTATCTTTATTCTCTTATACTGGGCTCTGCTCTTTATTGTACAGCTCATAGTCACTTCCTGCTTCAGCCTCCAAACTGAGCCTTCTAAATTTGAGGACATACCTGCCCAGGGGATGCCAACCCATTTTGGTCAGTTTCTACAGCAGCATAAATTAGGGTTCTCGGAGCCATTCAGAAATTGAGCCCTCATCTGGCAAATACAATCCTCCCAGGGAAACTCAGAAACAAAAATAATATGCACAGAAGAAAAATATGTAAAATATTTTTTAAACATACATTTGGACAAGGATTGGAAGATATATGTAAAATTAAAATATCAAGATGGTGGAGTTATGGATGTACTTCTTTTTGAAAATGTGGATATTATATTTTTAAGGTTAAAAAAATGAAACATGTTAAGAAATGTTAATAACTTTTAACAAGAATATCCTGAAAGGATAAATTTTGATTATGAAGTAGAGATGCCTCAACTTTGCTCACTACTTCCAACTTGCTAGAATTCCCTACCAGATCTCTAATGGCAAGAAATAAATGATATGACAGTAGAGTTTTTCATATTAATAACAAATTTAAATTTCCAACTATGATATCACGAGGCTCATTCTCATTCTTTTAAACTCCAGGGTAAGGACTAGAGTTTCTTTTTTCCATCCAATTCAATCCCTCACCCTCTCTTGTACATATTCCTGCAGTCTAATCCAGTCCTAAGCAGGGTATAAGAGTAAGCAATATAAGAAGAAAAACAAGGAAGCGGTCAAGTGATAGGAGCTACTGAGAGCAACTCTTCATGTCACCATAATCCCAGATATAAATATAGAGGCAGAATATTTATCCTTTAAATAAATATCCTTTAAATAACCTAATAATCTGAGCTTAAAGCTCTGATAAAGCAAGTTATCTGATATATTTATCGCATCAATTTAACAACTATTTACCAAGTACCTACACTTTGTAAGGCACCAGGTTTAAGGTTAAACCAAAAAAAAAAAAATGACCCCTGACCCCAAATAAGTTCCAATTGCATATGGGCTATATCTGTGCTATCATAAATAAGCAGATAGAGTTCTGCCTCTTTGTCACCTAAGGATACTTCTGCCTTGCCAGGCAAGAGCTACTGAGTCATTAAGAGGACAATGCTCACAGTTCAGTAAAGGAGCCCTTTCAATAGAAAAAAAAAAGTGTGGCTTCTGAAGGGAGAGTGAGGATGATCAGATTTCAGGAGGCAATCCAGCTGCTGAGAAGCATGAGGGCAGATGGTAGATGGTGGACCAGAAGAAAGCAGATCAGGAGTACTAGAAGCTCCAAGTGCTGTACACAGAGGCTTCCAAGGACACTCTCCCAGGAAACAAAAAGTGTGGTTTTTAAAAAAATTCATAGAGATAATACCATTGACATATACTTTGAGTAATTTTTTATTAGTAATGATGAGTTTCACCAGCTCTTTTATCCTAATCTGCTTTACGACCACAGAAGGATTTCTTTAAATCCCTTAAGTATTCTGAGTACTAAAGACAGAGACAATATGTTATATTTGTGTAACACTTTACAAATTTCAAAGTGCTTTCACACCTATTATCTGATTTAATCTTCACAGCAAACCCAGGGGGGATGGGTAAGGCATGTATGATGACCCTGTCTTCACACAGGAGGATACTGTGTCTTAAAGCTATCTGAGGGTAACACTGTACTTGCCTCCTAAAGATTTATCCCACCTCTGCCCCACCATGATCACTACCACACCCAGACACCACCTGAGAAGCTATAAAATTTGGATGAGATTGGCCCCACCCTCATCTCTGAGAGAGTTATAGTTGGTCTACCTTACCAAGAAAGAAGTGGAGAGGGGAATGATCAGGATGAGGAATCCTGGTAGAAGACTCTGCTATATGGCACCTTTGACTCAAAAACATTGATGACGTGAAAATAAGTCAACTGCTAAAGTTCACATTTTAATCCTAGGCAGGCTCTCCTCAACCCATCAAAATGCTGGACCACTTCTTTCCACAATCAGTTAATCTGCATTCAAGAATGGAAAATTAACTTTATTATTAGCTTAGGAGGAACATAATTAAGAAAGAAAAATGATGTAGGGAATTATAAGGATTTCCAATGCCAAGTATAAATTATTTTTGAATTAGCTATTTTAAGTTTTTAATACCTCAGATCCCTCTTCATTCATATATATAAATTAAAGGTTAATTGCATTTAAGTTTTGGTCTGTATTTGTCTATGGAGTGTTTTATAAGAACATTATTCTTAAAGTTAGGAAAAACCTGTTTGATCCTTGCTTGAGCCAGTAACTCATTCTGTATATATTTTAACCCAGCTGCTTAGAGCCAGCATATAGTCTAGAGCACAGTTTGGTCCTTTTAGAAGTAAAATTTTAGAGGAATTTTTCTCCCTCCCCCTCCCCCTTTGCAAAATGTCAAGAAAAGCTCTAAAATGACAATAAAGGAATGGGAAACAAAATAGTGGCATCATTACAGTAAGAAAGAAAGTAAACCAACAAGTGTTTATTGTATGTTGACATAAATAGACCACTTAATATTTTAAAACAACACTCTCAAATTTTGGATTAACTCATAACGTAGATATATTGATATCTTGTTGTCTTTCTTACATCTGTTTCTTCCCACTCCTCTGTCAACCATTCCTAGATAGGATTTACAAGGAGCTAAACAGCAATATCCATCCTCCTCCCCATAGCCCAATCCCTATCACTGTTGTGAATATTGTCAAAGTTTCCCATCTTCATCCATTTTGGGAAAAGTTAGCTCTTTTTCTTGAAGCCCTAATTTATTTTTGGGTAAAGTTACTCTCTGAGCAGGGAACATTGTAACGAAATGCTACTGAATTAATTCTAATAGCAAATTTAAAATAATACCACTAGGTTTTTTTAGGACTTGAAAAAGGCAATAGCATAAGTAGCATTTTGTATGTCACCTGAAAAATTTTTGTATTTTCATTTTTATAAGGAATATAATTTTCAAATATTCTGCCAAGTTTCTTTACCAGTTTTCATTAAAGGTAATATGCTTCAGATTAATTCACTTGATTTTATATTGGGGTATAGGAAGTTACCTCAGTATTTTCCAATTCTGAGGTGTTTTCCATAGAAGTTTAATTTAAAGTGCAGTTCAGACTTTCACTTCCAGCAACAAAACAGGTTAGAGACCTTGATTTATTAAAAATGTGAGATTATATATTTTTATAATCTTAAATGAATCCATTGTAATCTTGAATGAATAAAACATGGAAAACTAAAGCCAAAGGCTGCACAAAGGAAGGAATCCATCTACAGTCCATTCTCAACACAGCATCCATGGTGATCCGATGAAGTCAGATCAGGTCTGTCCAAGACCTTCCAATGGCTTCCTGTATCACTCAGGATGAGTCCTTACTGTAAATGACAGGGCCCGTGTTAGTTGTCTATTGCTGCTATAACAAATTACGACAAACTTGGTGGCGTAAAACAACACAAATGTGTTATAGTTCTTGAGGTCAGAAGTCTAAAATGATTCTCAGTAGACTAAAATCAAGGTGTGGACAAGGCTGTGTTCCTTTCTGGAGGTTCCGGGGAGAATCATTTTCTTACCTTTTTCAGATTCTAGAGCCCACCTACTTTCCTTGGCTCATGGTCCCCTTCTTCTATCTTCAAATCCAGCAACATCTGGCCAAGCCCTTCTCACCTCCTTCCACATTTAAGGATCCTCGTGATTACACTGGGCCCACACAGATAATCCAGAATGACCTCATTTCCAGATCAGTTGAACAGCATCCATCAGCAACGTTAATTCCCCTTTGCCATAGGAGGTAATATATTCACAGGTTCTGGGGATTAGGAAGTGGGGAATCCCATTTGTGGGGGGCCCTTATTCTGATTACCACAAGACCCTACTGGATCTAGTCCCCCATTATCTCTCTGACCACATCTTCTGTTTTTCCCCTTAGTCATTCTGCTGTCACCATAATGACCTCCTCAATGTTTCTTGAATAGGCAGGAACATGTTTGCCTCAGGACCACTAAAATTGTTCTTTCCCTACGTTTTTGTATAGCTCTCCTTTCACTTCTTAAGATCTTTTCTCATGTGTCACCTAAGTCGTAACTGACCATTGAAACCACCTTTGCAAAATTATGACGGAGACAGTGAAAGAGATCTAACTTAACCTACTCCATCTTGCTTCTAACCTCCAACCTGTCCTTTTTCATTCCTGGGCGTAGGCTGAACTAACTTTGGGAGAAACTTAGTTTATAGTTTAAACAAAGACGATAACAGCCCTTTCCCAAAGCAGACCTTCTTCTTGCCTGGGGACTAGATTGCCTTTGTAGGACTAACATTAGCCACAAGATTAGAAATTATGGTTTAGGAGTCATGCAGCCAGAGGCTACAAGATTCTGACCCTCCCTAAACTGCTCCTAAGATCAGTGCTTGAGATAGTTTGCAGACCCTGCACAGGATGGATGGATCAGCTGGCACCACCCAGATCAATAAACTGTCTCATTTGATCTTGTGGCCCCCTCCCAGGAAATGACTCAGTGCAAGAAGACAGCTTTGACTCACTATAATTTCATCCCTAACCAATCAGCACTCCTGGCTCACTGGCTTCCCCTCATCCACCAAGTTATCCTTAAAAACTCTGCTCCCTGAATGTCTGGGGAGACTGATTTGAGTAATAATAAAGCTCCAGTCTCCCACACAGCCAGCTCTGCGTGAATTACTCTTTCTCTATTGCAATTCCCCTGTCTTGATGAATTGGCTCTGTTGAGGCAGCAGGCAAGGTGAACCCCTTGGGCAGTTAACATCATCCTTCTAAAATAAAAAATTTAAAAGACATTTTAAAATCCCTCTCCCCGTTGTATTTTTTCTTAGTATTCTGTCATTAACATAGTCAATTATTTTAATAATCTTGTTTGTTTATTGTCTGCTTCACCCAATATGATCTACAAGGACAGGAACTCTATTTTATTCATTGCTGAATTCTCAGTGTCTTTAACAGATCATGACACATGTAGATACTGAATAAATATTTTGAATGGATGAATCAATGAATGAAGCAATTCTCAAGAAATCTGACAGGATTGAAATTATTTACAACACATTCTTTGACCACAATGGTATTAAGGTAGATATCAATAACAAATACACACTTACACACATTTAGATATTACAAAAAGCAATTCTAAATAATTCAAAATCAAGAAATCATAAAGGAAACTAAAGTGTATCTAGAAGAAAATAAAAATATTTTATATTGAAATCTGTAAAATGCAGCTAGAGTATCTATTTGAAGGAAAACTTAAAGCCTCAAATGTTTATAACAGAAAATATGAAAACCTAAACACAAATAAATTACTACTTAGCTTAAGAATTTTGATAAAATAAAATAGGTCTAAAGGAAGTATTAATAGAAGAAAATAATATAGAGGCAAAATCAATAAAATGTTTAACAAATATATAATACAGAAGATTGACACAGTCAAATATTTGCACTTTGAAAATGTTAGTTAACAAAATTCCAGTGACACTAATCAAAATTAAAAATGAGAGAGACC
This sequence comes from Homo sapiens, assembly GCF_000001405.40. Classification (NCBI taxonomy): domain Eukaryota; kingdom Metazoa; phylum Chordata; class Mammalia; order Primates; family Hominidae; genus Homo; species Homo sapiens. Next base: position 119,041,274 of record NC_000003.12, read on the forward strand.
TCAAATAATATCAGAATAAAAATGGTGGCCAGATGTGGTGGCTCACGCCTATAATCTCAGCACTTTGGGAGGCCAAGGCAGGTGGATCACCTGAGGTCAAGAGTTTGAGACCAGCCTGGCCAACATGGTGAAACCCCATCTCTACTAAAAATACAAAAATTAGCCAGATGTGGTAATGCACACCTGTAATCCCAGCTACTACTCTGAAGGCTAAGGTGGGAGAATTGCTTGAACTCAGGAAGGAGAGGTTGCTGTGAGCCGAGATCATGCCACCACACTCCAGCCTGGGCAACAAGCAAGACTCCATCTCAAAAAATAAAAATAAAAAAGAATAAAAAAGGAGACATTACTACATATGCTGCAGATATTTAAAAGAGAAGAAAAATGTGAATAATTTTCTGCCAAAAAATCTGAAAATTTGGAGGAAATGAGCAATATCCTAGAAAAATAGAACTTATCAACATTTGCTCAAAAATAAGCAGAAAACGTGGATAGTCCTGTACAATTAAGGTAATTGAAGCAATAGTTTAAAATCCTTCTAAAAATAAAACTCTAGCTCCAGGTAATTTTATCAGCAGATTTCACCAAATGTTCAGAAAACGAAAACAAACCCAATCTTTTACAACTATGAAAAAATGAAACACTCCACTCATTTTATGATGCTACCATTATACTGCATACCAAATATTGACAAGAATGATAGGAGAAAAGAAAAGAAAATAGGCCAATTTTTCTTATGCAAAGATATGCAAATGAGCATTAGTCCCCTAATATATATATGAGATAATGCATCACACCAATTGGATTTATTTCATGAGAGTAATGTTTAATATTTAACAATCAATGCAATGCACCACACTGAGGTTAAAGGAAAAAAATTAGATGATCATTTTATTAAGTGCCCACTGAAGGCAAAGAAGCCATTCCTGGCCTTATCTGACAGAGGTCCTTGGGGAAGAGAAGGCAGCCAGCAGAATCAGAGAGAGGCCACAGGGTGAAGGAAGCTCATAGTGCACATTGGAGTGCTCAGTGGGCAGGCAGGGAGGGGCGAAGCCTGAGAGCCCTGCTTGTTTTCTCAGCAGGGAGGGTTGTAGCCTTGGGCAAGATCTAAGCCCTGATTGCAGGCTGACTGGATATAAACTCAATATGGTTGCTGGGGCATGGCAGGATTGAGACTGACCTTGCCGGTTATGAGGGAGCTGGGTAAGGCCTGTCACTGCTGGCTTTCCCCCACTTCCCTGGTGACCTGTATGATGCAGCAGAGGCAGCCATAATCCCCCTGGGAACAAAACTCCATTGGCCTGGGAACCACCTCCTACCCCCCACAGTGGTGGCAGCAAGCCCCGTCCAAGAAAAGCCTAAGCTCAGACCTGCCTAACAGTGCCCACACCTGATGGTTTTTCTCTACTCACTCTGGTAGCTGAAGACAAAAGGCATAAGCTCTTGAGAGCTCTATGGCCCTACCCATCACCTGAGAAACCTAAGTACCCATCCTGCCAAATGTAGGGCAAGATTATATACCCCTCCTACTACCTCAGCTGGTGCTCTCTTGAAAACACCACCTCCTGGCTGGAGGCAAACCAACTCAAGCCATTACAGCAACTCATAACAGAACAACTGTTACCAGGGGGTCCTTGTTCTTAGAGCTCCCAAGATGGTGGCGGGCAGCTTCCAAGATGGCAGCAAGCCTCTTGTTCTCTGACCTGGGGTTCTTGGCCTAACGGATTCCAGGGAATGGAATCTTGGCTCATGTGGTGAGTGTTATAGCTCTATTAGAAGCTGTGGGTCACAGAAGAGAACCGTGGAACCCAGCGACTAGCGTTCAGCTTGATTTGGATGAACCCGGGCACTTAGCTATGCAGGAACAATGGCAAGCCTTTAGCCTGATTGTGCAGTTGCAAGATTTAATAGAGTGAAAACAGAGCTCCCATAAATGGGAGGGGACTCAAAGGGGGTTGCTGTTGCCAGCTCGAATGCCTGGGTTTATATGCCAATCATTTTCCCTCCCCCTGTGCTCTCAGGCGATAGATGACTGGCTGTCTTGTTTTTGCCTAATTGGCATTTTAGTGAGCTCTCTTTACTACCTGATTAGTCGGGTGTGAGCTAAGTTGCAAGCCCCATGTTTAAAGGTGGATGTGGTCACCTTCCCAGCTATGCTTAGGGATTCTTAGTTGGCCTAGGAAATCCAGCTAGTCATGTCTCTCACAACCATGCTCCAAAGAAGGAGGAAATAACAACTGATTCCATTGCCGGCAACACCCTAGCTAACCAGAGGTCCTGAGTCCATCCACATGACAATTTTACTGCTAGCATGCTAGCATAACAACCATTCAAAAACTTGGTTGCAAAAAACTGCAACCAAGGACTCCCACAGAGTTCACAACACACCTCTGCCACCTCCACCAGAGCAGGTTCTGGTATCCATGGCTGGGAGACCTAAAGATGGATCACAACATAGGACTTTTTGCAGGCATTCCCCAATACCAGACGGGAGCCCAGTTAGCCCCACTGGGTGGCTAGATGCAGAAGGGCAATAACAATCACTGCAGTCCAGCTTTCAAGAAGCCCCATCCCTAGGGGAAGCAGGAGAGTACCACATCCAAAGGATCACCTCATGGGACAAAACAATCTGAACAGCAGCCCTTGAGTTCCAGATCTTTCCACTGAAACAGTCTACCCAAAAAAGAAGGAACCAGAAAAGCAGTTCTGATAATATGACAAAACAAGGTTCTATTAACACCCCCAAAAGATCACATTAGCACTGCAGCAATCCAAACCAAGAAAAAATCTCTGAATTGCCAAATAAAGAATTCAGAAGGTCGATTATTAAGCTACTCAAGGAGGCACAAGAGAAAGGTGAAAAACAACTTAAAGAAACCTAAAAAACAACACAGGATATGGATGAAAAAGTCTCCAGAGAAATAGACATCATAAAGAAAAGACAATCACAACTTCTGAAAATGAAAGACATACTTAGAGAAATGCAAAATACACTGGGAAGTTTCAGCAATCAAATCGAACAAGTAGAAGAAAGAACTTCAGAGCTTGAAGATAAGACTTTCTAGTTAACCCAATCAGACAAGGGTAAAGAAAAAAAGAATTTTTAAAAAATAAACAAAGCCTCCAAGAAATTTGGGATTATGTTAAATGACCAAACATAAGAATAATTAGTATTCCTGAGGAAGAGAAATCTAAAAGTTTGGAAAAAGTATTTGAGGAAATAATTGAGGAAAACTTCCCTGGTCTTGCTAGAGATCCAGATATTCAAATATAAGATGCTCAAGGAACACCTGGTAAGTTCATCACAAAAAGATCATCACCTAGGCACAGAGTCAACAGGTTATCTAATATTAAGATGAAGAAAAGAATCTTAAGAGTTGTGAGGTAAAACCATCTGGTAACCTGTCATACAAAGGAAAAGCTATCAGACTAACACCAGATTTCTCAGCAGAAATCCTGCAAGCCAAAAGGATCTGTAGCCTTCTTAAACAAAATAATTATCAGCCTAGAATTTTGTATCCAGCAAAACTAAGCTTCATAAACGAAGGAGAGATAAAGTCTTTTTCAGACAAACAAATGCTGACAGAATTCACCACTAACAAGCTTGCACTACAAAAAATGCTAAAAGGAGTTCTAAATCTTGGAACAAAACCTGAAATACACCAAAATAGAACCGCCTTAAAGCACAAATCTCACAGGACCTATAAAACAATAACACAGTTAAAAAAAGGAATTCAAGCAACAATCAGCATGATGAATAGAACAGTACCTCACATCTCAATACTAACACTGAATGTAAATGGCCTAAATGCTCCACTTAAAAAATAGAGAATGGCAGAACGGATAAAATCCCACAAAAGGGAGGAGCCCAGATGGCCAAATAGGAACAGCTCCGGTCTACAGCTCCCAGCGTGAGCGACACAGAATATGGGTGATTTCTGCATTTCCATCTGAGGTACCGGGTTCACTTCACTAGGGAGCGCCAGACAGTGGGCGCAGGTCAGTGGGTGCGTGCACCGTGCACGAGCCGAAGCAGGGCGAGGCATTGCCTCACTTGGGAAGCGCAAGGGGTCAGGGAGTTCCCTTTCCGAGTCAAAGAAAGGGGTGACGAACGGCACCTGGAAAATCGGGTCACTCCCACCCGAATACTGCGCTTTTGCGACGGGCTTAAAAAACGGCGCACCATGAGATTATATCCCGCACATGGCTCGGAGGGTCCTACTCCACGGAGTCTCGCTGATTGCTAGCACAGCAGTCTGAGATCAAACTGCAAGGCGGCAGTGAGGCTGGGGGAGGGGCGCCCACCATTGCCCAGGCTTGCTTAGGTAAACAAAGCAGCCAAGAAGCTCCAACTGGGTGGAGCCCACCACAGCTCAAGGAGGCCTGCCTGCCTCTGTAGGCTCCACCTCTGGGGGCAGGGCACAGACAAACAAAAAGACAGCAGTAACCTCTGCACACTTAAATGTCCCTGTCTGACAGCTTTGAAGAGAGCAGTGGTTCTCCCAGCACGCAGCTGGAGATCTGAGAACGGGCAGACTGCCTCCTCAAGTGGGTCCCTGACCCCTGACCCCCGAGCAGCCTAACTGGGAGGCACCCCCCAGCAGGGGCACAGTGACACCTCACACTCCAGGGTACTCCAACAGACCTGCAGCTGAGGGTCCTGTCTGTTAGAAGGAAAACTAACAAACAGAAAAGACATCCACACCAAAAACCCATCTGTACATCACCATCATCAAAGACCAAAAGTAGATAAAACCACAAAGATGGGGAAAAAACAGAACAGAAAAACTGGAAACTCTAAAAATCAGAGCGCCTCTCCACCTCCAAAGGAACGCAGCTCCTCACCAGCAACGGAACAAAGCTGGATGGAGAATGACTTTGACGAGCTGAGAGAAGAAGGCTTCAGACGATCAAATTACTCTGAGCTACGGGAGGACATTCAAACCAAAGGCAAAGAAGTTGAAAACTTTGAAAAAAATTTAGAAGAATGTATAACTAGGATAACCAATACAGAGAAGTGCTTAAAGGAGCTGATGGAGCTGAAAACCAAGGCTCGAGAACTACGTGAAGAATGCAGAAGCCTCAGGAGCTGATGCAATCAACTGGAAGAAAGGGTATCAGCAATGGAAGATGAAATGAATGAAATGAACCAAGAAGGAAAGTTTAGAGAAAAAAGAATAAAAAGAAATGAGCAAAGCCTCCAAGAAATATGGGACTATGTGAAAAGACCAAATCTATGTCTGATTGGTGTACCTGAAAGTGATGGGGAGAATGGAACCAAGTTGGAAAACACTCTGCAGGATATTATCCAGGAGAATTTCCCCAATCTAGCAAGGCAGGCCAACATTCAGATTCAGGAAATACAGAGAACACCACAAAGATACTCCTCGAGAAGAGCAACTCCAAGACACATAATTGTCAGATTCACCAAAGTTGAAATGAAGGAAAAAATGTTAAGGGCAGCCAGAGAGAGAAAGGTCTGGTTACCCTCAAAGGGAAGCCCATCAGACTAACAGCGGATCTCTCGGCAGAAACCCTACAAGCCAGAAGAGAGTGGGGGCCAATATTCAACATTCTTAAAGAAAAGAATTTTCAACCCAGAATTTCATATCCAGCCAAACTAAGCTTCATAAGTGAAGGAGAAATAAAATACTTTACAGACAAGCAAATGCTGAGAGATTTTGTCAACACCAGGCCTGCCCTAAAAGAGCTCCCGAAGGAAGCGCTAAACATGGAAAGGAACAACCGGTACCAGCCGCTGCAAAATCATGCCAAAATGTAAAGACCATCGAGACTAGGAAGAAACTGCATCAACTAACGAGCAAAATCACCAGCTAACATCATAATGACAGGATCAAATTCACACATAACACTATTAACTTCAAATGTAAATGGACTAAATGCTCCAATTAAAAGACACACACTGGCAAATTGGATAAAGAGTCAAGACCCATCAGTGTGCTGTATTCAGGAAACCCATCTCATGTGCAGAGACACACATTGGCTCAAAATAAAAGGATGGAGGAAGATCTACCAAGCAAATGGAAAACTAAAAAAGGCAGGAGTTGCAATCCTACTCTCTGATAAAACAGACTTTAAACCAACAAAGATCAAAAGGGACAAAGAAGGCCATTACATAATGGTAAAGGGATCAATTCAAAAAGAAGAGCTAACTATCCTAAATATATATGCACCCAATACAGGAGCACCCTGATTCATAAAGCAAGTCCTGAGTGACCTACAAAGAGACTTAGACTCCCACACATTAATAATGGGAGAATTTAACATCACACTGTCAACATTAGACAGACCAATGAGACAGAAAGTCAACAAGGATACCCAGGAATTGAACTCAGCTCTGCACCAAGAGGACGTAATAGACATCTACAGAACTCTCCACCCCAAATCAACAGAATATACATTTTTTTCAGCACCACACCACACCTATTCCAAAATTGACCACACACTTGGAAGTAAAGCTCTCCTCAGCAAATGTAAAAGAACAGAAATTATAACAAACTATCTCTCAGACCACAGTGCAATCAAACTAGAACTCAGGATTAAGAATCTCACTCAAAACTGCTCAACTACATGGAAACTGAACAACCTGCTCCTGAATGACTACTGCGTACATAACGAAATGAAGGCAGAAATAAAGATGTTCTTTGAAACCAACGAGAACAAAGACATGACATACCAGAATCTCTGGGATACATTCAAAGCAGTGTGTAGAGGGAAATTTATAGCACTAAATGCCCACAAGAGAAAGCAGGAAAGATCCAAAATTGACACCCTAACATCACAATTAAAAGAACTAGAAAAGCAAGAGCAAACACATTCAAAAGCTAGCAGAAGGCAAGAAATAACTAAAATCAGAGCAGAACTGAAGGAAATAGTGACACACAAAACGCTTCAAAAAATTAATGAATCCAGGAGCTGGTTTTTTGAAAGGATCAACAAAATTGATAGACCGCTAGCAAGACAAATAAAGAAAAAAAGAGAGAAGAATCAAATAGACGCAATAAAAAATGATAAAGGGGATATCACCACCGATCCCACAGAAATACAAACTACCATCAGAGAATACTACAAACACCTCTACGCAAATAAACTAGAAAATCTAGAAGAAATGGATAAATTCTTGACACATACACTCTCCCAAGACTAAACCAGGAAGAAGGTGAATCTCTGAATAAACCAATAACAGGATCTGAAAGTGTGGCAATAATGAATAGCTTACCAACCAAAAAGAGTCCAAGACCAGATGGATTCACAGCCTAATTCTACCAGAGGTACAAGGAGGAACTGGTACCATTCCTTCTGAAACTATTCCAATCAATAGAAAAAGAAGGAATACTCCCTAACTCATTTTATGAGGCCAGCATCATTCTGATACCAAAGCCAGGCAGAGACACAACAAAAAAAGACAATTTTAGACCAATATCCTTGATAAACATTGATGCAAAAATCCTCAATAAAATACTGGCAAACCGAATCCAGCAGCACATCAAAAAGCTTATCCACCATGATCAAGTGGGCTTCATCCCTGGGATGCAAGGCTGGTTCAATATATGCAAATCAGTAAATGTAATCCAGCATATAAACAGAACCAAAGACAAAAACCACATGATTATCTCAACAGATGCAGAAAAGGCCTTTGACAAAATTCAACAGCCCTTCATGGTAAAAACTCTCAATAAATTAGGTATTGATGGGACGTATTTCAAAATAATAAGAGCTATCTATGACAAACCCACAGCCAATATCATACTGAATGGGCAAAAACTGGAAGCATTCCCTTTGAAAACTGGCACAAGACAGGGATGCCCTCTCTCACCACTCCTGTTCAACATAGTGTTGGAAGTTCTGGCCAGGGCAATTAGGCAGGAGAAGGAAATAAAGGGTATTCAATTAGGAAAAGAGGAAGTCAAATTGTCCCTGTTTGCAGATGACATGATTGTATATCTAGAAAACCCCATTGTCTCAGCCCAAAATCTCCTTAAGCTCATAAGCAACTTCAGCAAAGTCTCAGGATACAAAATCAATGTGCAAAAATCACAAGCATTCCTATACACCAATAACAGACAAACAGAGAGCCAAATCATGAGTGAACTCCCATTCACAATTGCTTCAAAGAGAATAAAATACTTAGGAATCCAACTTACAAGGGATGTGAAGGACCTCTTCAAGGAGAACTACAAACCGCTGTTCAAGGAAATAAAAGAGGATACAAACAAATGGAAGAACATTCCATGCTCATGGGTAGGAAGAATCAATATCGTGAAAATGGCCATACTGCCCAAGGTAATTTATAGATTCAATGCCATCCCCATCAAGCTACCAATGACTTTCTTCACAGAATTGGAAAAAACTACTTTAAAGTTCATATGGAACCTAAAAAGAGCCCTCATTGACAAGTCAATCCTAAGCCAAAAGAACAAAGCTGGAGGCATCACACTACCTGAATTCAAACTATACTACAAGGCTACAGTAACCAAAACAGCATGTTACTGGTACCAAAACAGAGATGTAGATCAATGGAACAGAACAGAGCCCTCAGAAATAACGCCGCATATCTACAACTATCTGATCTTTGACAAACCTGACAAAAACAAGCAATGGGGAAAGGATTCCCTATTTAATAAATGGTGCTGGGAAAACTGGCTAGCCATATGTAGAAAGCTGAAACTGGATCCCTTCCTTACACCTTATACAAAAATCAATTCAAGATGGATTAAAGACTTAAACGTTAGACCTAAAACCATAAAAACCCTAGAAGAAAACCTAGGCATTACCATTCAGGACATAGGCATGGGCAAGGACTTCATGTCTAAAACACCAAAAGCAATGGCAACAAAAGCCAAAATTGACAAATGGGACCTAATTAAACTAAAGAGCTTCTGCACAGCAAAAGAAGCTACCATCAGAGTGAACAGGCAACCTACAAAATGGGAGAAAATTTTCGCAACCTACTCATCTGACAAAGGGCTAATATCCAGAACCTACAATGAACTCAAATTTACAAGAAAAAAACAAACAACCCCATCAAAAAGTGGGCAAAGGACGTGAACAGACACTTCTCAAAAGAAGACATTTATGCAGCCAAAAAACACATGAAAAAATGCTGACCATCACTAGCCATCAGAGAAATGCAAATCAAAACCACAATGAGATACCATCTCACACCAGTTAGAATGGCGATCATTAAAAAGTCAGGAAACAACAGGTGCTGGAGAGGATGTGGAGAAATAGGAACACTTTTACACTGTTAGTGGGACTGTAAAGTAGTTCAACCATTGTGGAAGTCAGTGTGGCGATTCCTCAGGGATCTAGAACTAGAAATACCATTTGACCCAGCCATCCCATTACTGGGTATATACCCAAAGGGTTATAAATCATGCTGCTATAAAGACACATGCACACGTATGTTTATTGCAGCATTATTCACAATAGCAAAGACTTGGAACCAACCCAAATGTCCAACAATGATAGACTGGATTAAGAAAATGTGGCACATATACACCATGGAATACTATGCAGCCATAAAAAATGATGACTTCATGTCCTTTGTAGGGACATGGATGAAATTGGAAATCATCATTCTCAGTAAACTATCGCAAGGACAAAAAACCAAACACCGCATATTCTCACTCATAGGTGGGAATTGAACAATGATATCACATGGACACAGGAAGGGGAACATCACACTCTGGGGAGTGTTGTGGGTTGGGGGGAGGGGGGAGGGATGGCATTGGGAGATATACCTAATGCTAGATGACGAGTTAGTGGGTGCAGCACACCAGCATGGCACCTGTATACATATGTAACTAACGTGCACAATGTGCACATGTACCCTAAAACTTAAAGTATAATAATAATTAATAAATAAATAAATAAATAAATAAATTTCAAAAAAAAAATCCCACAAACAAGTATCTGCTGTCTTCAAGAGATTCAGCTCACACATATGGGCTCACATAAACTTAAGGTAAAGTGGTAGAAAAAGATATTCCATGCAAATGGAAACCAAAAGTAAGCAGGAGTAGCTGTTCTTATTTATATCAGACAAAACAGACTTTAAAGCAACAACAGTTAAAAAAAATAAAGAGGGGCATTATATAATAATAAAAAGATTAGTCCAACAGGAAAATATCACAATTCTAAATATACATGCACCTAACACTGGATCTCCCAAATTTATAAAACAATTACTACAAGACCTAAGAAATGAGACAGATGGCAATACAGTAAGAGTGGGGGACTTCAATACTCGACTAACAGCACTAAACAAGTTATCAAGACAGAAAGTCAACAAAGAAACAATGGAATTAAACTATACACTAGAACAAATGGACTTAACAGATATTTACAGAACATTCTACCCAACAACTGCACAATATACATTCTATTTATCAGCACATGGAACATTCTCCAAGATAGACCATATGATAGGTCACAAAACAAGTCTCAATAAATTTAAGAAAATTGAAATTATATCAAGTATTCTCTCAGACCACAGTGGAATAAGATTGAAAATTAACTCCAAAAGGAACCCTGAAAACTATACAGATACATGGAAATTAAATAACTTGGTTCCAAATGATCTTTGGATCAACAATGAAATCAATATGAAAATTTAAAAATTCTTTGAACTGAACAATAATAGTGACACAACCTGTCAACACCTCTGGGATACAGTAAAAGCAGTGATAAGAGGAAAGTTCATAGCATTAAATGCCTACATCAAAAACTCTGAAAGAGCACAAATAGACAATCTAAGCTCACACCTCAAGGAACTAGAAAAAAAGAACAAACCAAACCCAAACCCAGAAGAAGAAAAGAAATAACAAATATCAGAGCAGAACTAAATGAAATTGAAACAAAAAAATGTACAAAAGATAAATGAAACAAAAAGATGGTTCTTGGCTGGGTGCGGTGGCTCATGCCTATAATCTCACCACTTCGGGAAGCCAAGGTGGGTGGATCACTTGAGGCCAGGAGTTCGAGACAAGTCTGGCCAACATGGTGAAACTCTGTCTCTACTAAGACTACAAAAATTATCCAGGTGTGGTGGTGTGCGCCTATAATCCCAGCTACTCAGGAGGCTGAGACAGGAGAATCACATCTGTCACAAAAGATAGAAAGGAAGCAAGCAAACAGGAAGGGAGGGAGGGAGGAAGAGAGGGAGGGAGGGAGGGAAGGAGGAAGAGAGGGAGGGAGGGAGGGATTTAAAAATTGCCAACAAAAAAAGTCCAGGACCAGATGGATTCACAGCTGAATTCTGTCAGACATTCAGAGAATTGGTACCAATACTAATGAAACTATTCCAAAAGACAGAGAAAGAGGGAATCCTCCCTAAATCATTCTATGAATCCAGTATTACCCTAATACCAAAACCAGGAAAGGACACAGAAAAAAAAAAAGAAACCTACAGACCAATATCCCTAATGAACATAGATGCAAAAATCCTCGACAAAATACTAACTAATCGAATCCAACAGCTTATCAAAAAGATAATCCACCATTATCAAGTGGGTTTCATGCCAGGGATGCAGGGTTGGTTTAACATACTCAAGTCAATAAATATGATACACCACAAAAACAGAATTTAAAACAAAGGTCATATGATCATCTCAACAGACTCTGAAAAAGCGTTTCACAAAATCCAGCATCCCTTTGTGATTAAAACCCTCTGCAAAATCAGCATACAAGGGACATACCTAACTGTAATAAAAGCCATCTGTGACAAACCCACAGCCAACATTATACTGAATGGGGAAAAGTTGAAAGCTTTCCCCCTGAGAACTGGAACAAGACAAGGATGCCCACTTTCACCACTTCTATTCAACGTAGTACTGGAAGTCCTAGCCAGAGCAATCAAACAAGAGAAAGAAGTAAAGGGCATCCAAATCAGTAAAGAGGATTCAAACTGCTACTGTTTGCTGATTTGCTGCTGTTTTCTAGGTATAGATCATATACTTAGAAAACCCTAAAGACTCTTCCAAAAAGCTCCTAGATAGGATAAATGAATTCAGTAAAGTTGCAGAATATAAAATCAATGTACACAAATCAGTAGCACTGCTACACACCAACAGCGACCAAGCTGAGAATCAAATCAAGAACTCAACCCCTTTTACAACAGCTGCAAAAAAATAAAATAAAATACTCAGAAATGTACCTAACCAAGGAAATGAAAGATCTCTACAAGGTAAACTACAAAACACTGCTGAAAGAAATTATAGGTGACACAAACAAATGGAAACATATCCCATGCTCATGGATGGGTAGAATCAATATTGTGAAAATGACCATACTGCCAAAAGCAATCTATAAAGTCAATGCAATGCCCATCAAAATACCAACATCATTCTTCACAGAGCTAGAAAAAATAATCCTAAAATTTGTATGGAACCAAAAAAGGCCCTGCATAGCCAAAGCAAGACTAAGCAAAAAGAACAAATCTGGAGGCATCACATTATCCAAGTTCAAACTATACTACAAGGCTATCGTTACCAAAACAGCATGGTACTGTTATAAGTACAAGCATATAGACCAATGGAACAGAAAAGAGAACCCAGAAATAAAGCCAAATACTTACAGCCTACTGATCTTCATCAAAGCCAACAAAAAGATAAAGTGGGGAAAGGACCCCCTATTCAACAAATGGTGCTGGGATAAATGGCAAGCCACATGTAGAAGAATGAAACTGGATCCTCATCTCTCACTTTATACAAAAATCAACTCAAGATGGATCAAAGACTTGAATCCAAGACCTGAAATCATAAAAATTCTAAAATATAACATCATAAATACCTTCTAAACATTGGTTTAGGCATAGAGTTCATGACCAAGAACCCAAAAGCAAATGCAAAAAGTCAAAGATAAATAGATGGAACTTAATTAAACTAAAAAGCTTCTGCACAGCAAAAGAAATAATCAGCAGAGTAAACAGGCAACCCACAGAGGGGGAGAAAAATCTTCACAAACTATGCATCTTCACAAACTATGTATCCAACAAAGAACTAATATCTAGAATCTACAAGGAATTCAAACAAATCAGCAAGAAAAAGACAATAATCCCATCAAAAAGTGCACTAAGGACATGAATAGGCAATTATCAAAAGAAGATAAACAAATGGTCACCAAACATGTGAAAAATGCTCAACATCACTAATTATTAAGAAATGCAAGTCAAAACCACAATGTGATACCACCTTACTCCTGCAAGAACGGCCATAATTGAAAACTAAAAAATAATAAATGTTGGCATGGATCTGGTGAAAAGGGAACACATTTATACCGCTGGTGGGAATGTAAACTAGTACAACCACTATGGAAAACAGTGTAGAGGCTCCTTAAAGAACTAAAAGTAGAATTACCATTTGATGCAGCAATCCTACTACTGGTTATCTGCACAGAGGAAAAGAAGTAATTATATGAAAAAGACACTTGCACACACATGTTTATAGCAGCACAATTTGCAATTACAAAATTATGGAACCAGCCTAAATGCCCATCAACCAATGAGTGGATAAAGAAAATGTGGTGTGAGAGTAGTGGTTCTCCCAGCACACAGCTTGAGATCTGAGAACGGGCAGACTGCCTCCTCAAGTGGGTCCCTGACACCTGAGTAGCCTAACTGGGAGGCACCCCCAAGTACGGGCGGACTGACACCTCACACGGCCAGGTACTCCTCTGAGACAAAACTTTCAGAGGAACAATCAGGCAGCAGCATTGGCGGTTCACCAATATCCGTTGTTCTGCAGCCACTGCTGCTGATACCCAGGCAAACAGGGTCTGGAGTGGACCTCCAGCAAAATCCAACAGACCTGCAGCTGAGGGTCGTGACTGTTAGAAGGAAAACTAACAAACAGAAAGGACATCCACACCAAACACCCATCTGTACATCACCATCATCAAAGACCAAAGGTAGATAAACCACAAAGATGGGGAAAAAACAGAACAGAAAAACCAGAAACTCTAAAAATCAGAGCACCTCTCCTCCTCCAAAGGAATGCAGCTTCTCACCAGCAATGGAACAAAGCTGGATGGAGAATGACTTTGACAAGTTGAGAGAAGAAGGCTAAAAGAGACAAAGAAGGCCATTACATAACGCTAAAGGGATCAATTCAACAAGAAGAGCTAACTATCCTAAATACATATGCACCCAATACAGGAGGACCCAGATTCATAAAGCAAGTCCTTAGTGACCTACAAAGAGACTTAGAATCCTACACAGTAATAATGGGAGACTTTTAACAACCCACTGTCAACATTAGACAGAACAACGAGACAGAAAGTTAACAAGGATACCCAGGAATTGAACTCAGCTCTGCACCAAGCAGACCTAAGAGACATCTACAGAACTCTCCACCCTAAATCAACAGAATATACAATCTTTTCAGCACCACACCACACTTATTTGAAAATTGGCCACATAGTTGGAAGTAAAGCACTCCTCAGCAAATGTAAAAGAACAGAAATTAGAACAAACTGTCTCTCAGACCACAGTGCAATCAAACTAGAACTCAGGATTAAGAAACTCACTCAAAACAGCTCAACTACATGGAAACTGAACAACCTGCTCCTGAATGACTACTGGGTACATAACGAAATGAAGTCAGAAATAAAGATGGTCTTTGAAACCAATAAGAAAAAAGACTCAACATACCAGAATCTCTGGGACACGTTCAAAGCAGTGTGTAGAGGGAAATTTATAGCAGTAAATGCCCACAAGAGAAAGCAGGAAAGATCTAAAATTGACACCCTAATATCACAATTAAAAGAACTAGAGAAGCAAGAGCAAATACATTCAAAAGCTAGCAGAAGGCAAGAAATAACTAAGATGAGAGCAGAACTGAAGGAAATAGAGACAAAAAAAACCCTTCAAAAAATTAATGAATCCAGGAGCTGGTTTTTTGAAAAGATCAACAAAATTGATAGACTGCTAGCAAGACTAATACAGAAGAAAGAGAGAAGAATCAAATAGACGCAATAAAAAAATGATAAAGGGGATATCACCATCGATTACACAGAAATATAAACTACCATCAGAGAATACTATAAACACCTCTATGCAAATAAACTAGAAAATCTAGAAGAAATGGATAAATTCCTCGACACATACACCCTCCCAAGACTAAACCAGGAAGAAGTTGAATCTCTGAATAGACCAATAACAGGATGTGAAATTGAGGCAATAATTAATAGCTTACCAACCAAAAAAAGTCCAGGACCAGATGGATTCACAGCCGAATTCTACCAGAGGTACAAGGAGGGGCTGTTACCATTCCTTCTGAAACTATTCCAATTAACAGAAAAAGAGGGAATCCTCCCTAACTCATTTTATGAGGCCAGCACCATCCTGATACCAAAGCCTGGCAGAGACACAATAAAAACAGAGAATTTTAGACCAATGTCCTTGATGAACATTCATGCAAAAAGTCTCAATAAAATACTGGCAAACCGAATCCAGCAGCACATCAAAAAGCTTATCCACCATGATCAAGTGGGCTTCATCCCTGGGATGCAAGGCTGGTTCAACATATGCAAATCAATCAACTTAATCCAGCATATAAACAGAACCAAAGACAAAAAACACATGATTATCTCAATAGATGCAGAAAAGGCCTTTGACAAAATTCAACAGCCCTTCATGCTAAATATTCTCAATAAATTAGGTATTGATGGGATATATCTCAAAATAATAAGAGCTATCTATGACAAACCCACAGCCAATATCATACTGAATGGACAAAAACTGGAAGCATTCCCTTTGAAAACTGGCACAAGACAGGGAGGCCCTCTCTCACCACTCCTATTCAACATAGTGTTGGAAGTTCTGGCCAGGGCAATTAGGCAGGAGAAGGAAATAAAGGGTATTCAATTAGGAAAAGAGGAAGTCAAATTGTCCCTGTTTGCAGACGACATGACTGTATATCTAGAAAACCCCATCGTCTCAGCCCAAAATCTCCTTAAGCTCATAAGCAACTTCAGCAAAGTCTCAGATACAAAATCAATGTACAAAAATCACAAGCATTCTTATACACCAATAACAGACAAACAGAGAGCCAAATCATGAGTGAACTCCCATTCACAATTGCTTCAAAGAGAATAAAATACCTAGGAATCCAACTTACAAGGGATGTGAAGGACCTCTTTGAGGAGAACTACAAACCACTGCTCAATGAAATAAAAGAGGATACAAACAAATGGAAGAACATTCCATGCTCATGGGTAGGAAGAATTGATATCATGAAAATGGCCATACTGCCCAAGGTAATTTATAGATTCAATGCCATCCCCATCAAGCTACCAATGACTTTCTTCACAGAATTGGAAAAAACTACTTTAAAGTTCATGTGGAACCAAAAAAGAACCCGCATTGACAAGTCAATCCTAAGCCAAAAGAACAAAGCTGCAGGCATCACGCTACCTGACTTCAAACTATACTACAAGGCTACAGTAACCAAAACAGCATGGTACTGGTACCAAAACAGAGATACAGACCAATGGAACAGAACAGAGCCCTCAGAAATAACGCTGCATATCTACAACTATCTGATCTTTGACAAACCTGACAAAAACAAGCAATGGGGAAAGGATTCCCTATTTAATAAATGGTGCTGGGAAAACTGGCTAGCCATATGTAGAAAGCTGAAACTGGATCCCTTCCTTACACCTTATACAAACATTAATTCAAGGTGGATTAAAGACTTACATGTTAGACCTAAAACCATAAAAACCCTAGAAGAAAACCTAGGCAATACCTTTCAGGACATATGCTTGGGCAAGGACTTCATGTCTAAAACACCAAAAGCAATGGCAACAAAAACCAAAATTGACAAATGGGATCTAATTAAACTCAAGAGCTTCTGCACAGCAAAAGAAACTACCATCAGAGTGAACAGGCAACCTACAAAATGGGAGAAAATTTTTGCAACCTACTCATCTGACAAAGGGCTAATATCCAGAATCTACAAAGAACTCAAACAAATTTACAAGAAAAAAACAAACAACCCCATCAAAAAGTGGGCAAAGGATATGAACAGACACTTCCCAAAAGAAGACATTTATGCAGCCAAAAGACACATGAAAAAATGCTCATCATCACTGGCCATCAGAGAAATGTAAATCAAAACCACAATGAGATACCATCTCACACCAGTTAGAATGGCAATCATTAAAAAGTCAGGAAACAACAGGTGCTGGAGAGGATGTGGAGAAATAAGAACACTTTTACACTGTTGGTGGGACTGTAAACTAGTTCAACCATTGTGGAAGTCAGTGTGGCGATTCCTCAGGGATCTACAACTGGAAATACCATTTGACCCAGCCATCCCATTGCTGGGTATGTACCCAAAGGATTATAAATCATGCTGCT
The DNA here is from genome assembly GCF_000001405.40 of Homo sapiens. Classification (NCBI taxonomy): domain Eukaryota; kingdom Metazoa; phylum Chordata; class Mammalia; order Primates; family Hominidae; genus Homo; species Homo sapiens. The sequence continues at coordinate 119,058,657 of NC_000003.12, forward strand.
ATAAAGACATATGCACATGTATGTTTATTGCGGCACTATTCACAATAGCAAAGACTTGGAACCAACCCAAATGTCCAACAATGATAGACTGGATTAAGAAAATGTGGCACATATACACCATGGAATACTATGCAGCCATAAAAAATGATGAGTTCATGTCCTTTGTAGGGACATGGATGAAGCTGGAAACCATCATTCTCAGCAAACTACCACAAGGACAAAAAACCAAACACCACATGTTCTCACTCATAGGTGGGAATTGAACAATGAGAACACATGGACACAGGAAGGGGAACATCACACATCGGGGACTGTTGTGGGGTGGGGGGAGAGGGGAGGGATAGCATTAGGAGATATACCTAATGCTAGATGACGAGTTAGTGGGTGCAGCGCACCAACATGGCACATGTATACATATGTAACAAACCTGCACGTTGTGCACATGTACCCTAAAACTTAAAGTATAATAATAATAAAATTTAAAAAAAGAAAGAAAATGTAGTGTGTGTGTATATACACAGATCACACACACACACACACACACACACACACCACACCATGGAAACTACTCAGTCATAAAAAGGAATGAAATAATGGCATTCACAGTAACCTGGATGGAGTTGGAGACCATTATTCTATGTGAAGTAACTGAGGAATGTAAAACCAAACATTGTATGTTCTCATTTATATGTGGGAGCTAAGACATGAGGACACAAAGGCGTAAGAATGATAAATGGACTCTGGGGACTCAGGGGAAGGGTGGAGGGTGGTGATTACAAAAAAGTACACATTGGGTTCAGTGTACACTGCTCGGATGATGGATGCACCAAAATGTCAGAATTCACCAATAATGAACTTATCCATATAACAAAATACCACGTGTTCCCCAAAAACTACTGAAATAATTTTTGAAAAGGATACATTTATTATTTTTCAGTACAACTAGAAGGGAAAGGGTATTGGTGGATGTGAGGCATCCAAAACTGCAGACACTGGTGATTTTTTTTTTTAACTGCCAAGCTTTTTTTTCCTGCTAAGCATCAAGACCTTCTTCGAATGTTCAGACAATTTTCCAGAGTTTGATTTTCAGTGGAAAGTAGAGTCCACCTTCCCCTGCAGAGGCCAGAAATACCCTCTAGCAACCAGGAAGCAATTACATAACATAAGTTTCAGCCAACTGGAGAGCCTCATATTTGGAATTGTAAGTCTTGAGCAAGTGTAACAAAAATTTAGGGATAAGGAAAGAAGAAGGAAAAGGAAATGATAAGACATAAAAGAAGGAAGAGATGAAAAAGAGTTCATTCCACTGTCCACTAACCAGAGACAGTTGTAGCTGTGGTGCCAGCAGTGGTGGTGGTGCCAGGAGCTGTCCAGTGAGTCCCCACCAGAGTGTTCCTTTGGTGTCATTTGGCTATTCAGCCTCCTTTGGTTGCTGCTTATTTTCTAATCCTTTAGACTTCCCGTCTTTTCTATGAGCTACCTAACAGCCTGGACCTTTTCTCCTTTAATGAACCATCATCAGTTTCTGTTGCTTGCAACCAAGAACATTGTCTTTAGGATTAAAGTGTTGTGAAATTCTTGTCTTTCCAGAAAGTTAGAGATATTGATTAACTTATACTTCAAAAGAGGTGAGGAGGGTCCTACCTAATGAGAGCCATCAGAGATCTTTTTAAACCAGCAACATCCAAGAAAAGAGTCAAAACATAAGAAAAAACAACCCTGAGAAGAACCATAAGATTTTGAAAAAATTGCCTCCAATCTGATAGCACATATGATCAGTGTGTAGATCAGAACCAGTGATGGGTGTACATTTCACACTTAAATTTAATCCATATTTATGGCATACTTATATGGACCAGGCACTGTAACTATACTATACACTTTAACACAATCATCTTATTTAAATCCTCACAACAATGCTGTGATACAAGTAATTTTACTTCATTTTTCCAGATAAAGAAAACTGAGATTCAAAGAAGCTTTAAACTGCATAGTCAAGATGATACAGCTCATCAATAGTAAAGCTTAGAAAGTAAAACTCAAGTTTTCTGTCTCTATGGCCAGTGTTCTTTCCACTATATGCAGATACCTCCATTTGAATTAGCACCCTGATCAACAATTGGAAACTGATAACCTTTCTGCTACTTTTTAATACTAAAATATCTTTTGTTCAGATTTTAGCCTGTCTTTTGTATCTGTTAATGAACACTCTTCCTTAAGAGATACAGACATATAAAATTAAATAGATAACCCACTCTTTAAAAATTAATCAGAAGTTTTATATTTTGTAAACATGAAAGACTAAGTAAATAATGCCTGGATTTGAAATGTTTTTAATAATAAAATCAGGAATAACCCATAAAAATTGGAACTCAAAAACAGTGAGCTATGCTGTTTCTATGGTAACACAATAAGGAAAAAATTAGATGGCCTAAAAGATACTTTTAATTCAAATAAATTGGTTCACAGTTTTAATATCATTTTTAGAAAAATCAATATATATCTAATCATTATTATTACCAAAATCCACATATTAATACCATGTATTCTTAAAGAAAGAGTGCCGCAGTATTAGAATCTTCTTATGCGCCATTTCATATCTTCTCAGTTCTATCTCTTATTCTAGTTTCTGCTGCAGCTTAGATCAGCTTCTCACAGGTATAACTTAACAGTGTCTTGCTTTGCCTTGGACTATATCAAGTACCTCTCTCTTTCTGCTCCAGAGATTCTCTGACACCAGCAGGAATCCGGTGCCATAGACATGTGCAACCTGGAAGCATAGGGGCCACTCTTGACCAATGTAGGATGGGACTCAATGGATAACCTTTCACCCTTGCATCCTCCAAGTGGCAGTTTGTAGCCACATTTCATCAGGCTCCCCAGAAGTTCCTGGCATGATCAATGACAACCAACCAACAACAAATGCATCTTTGGCTTTTCTTGTTGCCTTTTTCACTTCCCCATCAATTACTCTTTCTCCCTGAAATTACTTCTTAAATAAACTAACTATATATCAGCCTTTCACTCAGGATATACTTTCACGGGAACCCAAACTAAGACAACTAACTTCAAATAGATTTTATGTATCTATATACGTGGTTCCTACTAAGATTTAACTATAGTTTTTTTTTTTCAGTAGCCAGCTCTTTTTAAATATACATCAAAATTATGATAATAGTATACTTCTTGTCCTAGAGATTTGGGCATGTCTATAGTGTATATTTCTTGATGTCTAGAACCAAATAAGGTAAATGCGAAATAGAGCTTTTGCATTTGACCTTCTAAATGATAAAAGGTTTGCTTAATTTCAACTGTGCTATATTATTAATAACATTGGGAAAGTCACTTAACCTCTGTATATCTCAACTACCACCTTATAAAAATGGAATATAATTCCTACTTCACAGGTTATTAGAATTGAATCAGGTAATATGTATGAAAATGCCCATTACAGTGCCTACCTGATAATCAGCCTGGCAAGTCTGATTAGCTGCTGTTATTATTACCATTATTAGTAGAATTGGTTTTATTTGAAAGTTTGCCATCATGGGGAGGAAAGATCCATTGACTTGGTATTTCCACCCAAATATTTCACTGCATTGTATTTTGCAGCCATAAGAAAATATTTGAATTTAATTTAATGTGGACAATCAAGATATCTCCCCAGAATAAACTGGAAATACCTCTGTATAGATCTTTGAAATGAGAGACTGCAAAACATTAACACTTCCACAAATGCCTTTGCCTCACAACCAACCCCACTCTGTCCTTCCATTGAATTTGCACCGCTCTTGTGCAGTCTTTCATCAATTCAACAACTATGTAAAAATCCTGCTATGATGTGTTGAGTGAAAACTAAACAATCAGATCATGCAAAATACATAGTCATATTATTGCGAGGTTCTAAAATGATTGGGGTAATAAATTGCCTAGCAAGATTGCCAAGAATTCCAGAAGTCCTGTTGCTGAATCTGCATCTATTTATGTCCTAACTATGGTTTAGCAAGGTGGCACTTCAAACTAAAGCTTAGCTATTGATGGAAATGTTTCTGGGTCCTATATTGATTGATACTTCCAGGGTTCCATCAGTGATACCAGGAACAGTGAACTGGCACTTGTTTCATCAGCTTGATGCAAGAATGATATACAGGAACATATGCAGGCCATGATATACAGGAACCCACCCTCTGCTTCTCAAGGCAGGATTAGGAAGGATTTAACCCTCTAACTTCATTCACCCCACCACATCCTCCACTTTAGCCTCCACTCCCTTTAACTCCCCTCCCCTCACTATGAGAAAAGGACTAAACATAGGACAGGAATTGTCAACGGAATTATATATTCATTCTCATTATTAATGGGATACATTGTAATAGGGTTTTACAGTGTTTTTTGAGAATATACAATCTCCCAGGCTCTGTCCAGGGTACTGGTGATAATACATTAAGTAGCAAAAATCAATAGGTCTTTGCTCTTATGAAACCTTCAGTCTAGTGGAAAAGGCAGAAATTTACCACCACATAATTCTACTAACAAATGTGAAAAGTGGTATGAAGGAGAGGGTCTGAGTTCTGAATGGGCCTGTAACAGAACAATTTGACACAATCAAAGAAAGCTGGAAAGAATTCCCCGAAGACATAATTCCTCTACAAAGACTGAGGGTTGGCTAGGCAAAGGGAAAGTGGATAATTTTTGGAACAGGTGAAAAAATTGAGATATTTTGAAGCAAAACTGTGCATTTTAATTCCCCTTTGTAAATCATGTTTTCTTGTAAATTTTCCCTTTTGAGGACAAGCCATGAGGGGTTTTTTTGTTATGTTTTGTTTTGTTTTTGTGCACAGACATGAACAGTGCAGGTACCTAGAAAAAAAAATGTCATTCTTCTGCTTTGAGTACAATGGTTACATTTTTTAGTCCCATGCAAAAATACTTTCTCTTAGCCAGGCTTCAAGATAGGGGACGTCTTACTTTTGTTGTGTTCTTGTTATTATAGTGTATAGTTTTGTTTTTAATTTCAGTAGTTCCTTTTTAAATATCTAGAGACAAGTCAGATGTATTCACACAAAGGTGTTATATTGTAAGTCTTCCTGAATACAAATCAGAGGATACTACATAGATGATGTTCCAACCCTAGCAAGAAGGAAAGGAAAACTTTTCAAAGAGGAACCAAGAGAGAGAAGGAAAGAGGCCAGGAAGTCAAATGTGAGTGTCTTCACTTGCTCTGTAATATGTAGTAGTGCAAGGAGGCACTGCTGCATTTTAGCAAATGAGCTGTGGAAGAGTGATGATTGGGAAAATGTCTTGATGAGTAGGCCAAAAGATGGTCTCATGGAGTTGCACATGTTCCATTATAGTGGTCCAGAAAGTGCAGAGTAGCGTTAGGTCCTTGGTTGAAAGGAGGAAGGGGACTCTGAGATGCCAAGAAAACTGGTGTGCAAGAGGAACCCTGAGTTGGAATAAAATGACCACAGATCAGAGACTACAACAAAGTCAGAAAGAAGTTCTCCTACATTTTACTCTAAAAGCTTTTTTGTTTTACTTTTTCACATTTATATCTGCAGTCCATATGGATTTAATTTTTATAAATGGTATGAGGTAGGAATAGCCAAAATATTGACTGTAACTAAGCATCATTTGTTTAAAAAGGCTTTTTAAAACAACTGCAGCATAGCCTTTGTCATAAATTAGATGGCTGAGTATGTGTAGGGGGTTTTCCCTCTATTCTGTTCTCACTGGTCAATTACTCCATCCTAATCCCAAAACCACGCTGTCCTACACACTGTAGGTTTTTAAGTCTTGATGTCTGGTAGTGTAAGTCCTCCAGCTTTGTTCTTCTGAGATTGCCTTGGCTGCTCTTTTTTTTTTTTTTTTTTTTTTCCATGTGAACTTAGGAATCATCACCTCAATTTACACAATAAAATCTCTGGGATTTTGACTGGGGTTGTACTGAAACTATAGATTAATTTGGGAAAAAATATCTTTATAATATTAGGGCTCCCAATCCAAGAACATGGCATATCAATCAGTGCATTTAGGATTCTTTCATTTCTCGCAATAATATTCTGTAGTTTCTTGTTCCTTTTTAATTAAATTTATTGCTCGTATGTGACATTCTTTGATGTAATTATAAATAGTATTGTTTTTCAAATTTAATTTTCTATTTGATTATTGCTGGCATACAAAAAAGTTAACTCTTATACATCTAACTTATTTCCAAAAATCTTACTACATTCACTTATTGATTCTAATAGTTTGACTATAGATTCTTTTGAATGGTCTACATGTACAATCATGTCATGTAAAAATAGGTTTATTTCTTCCCTTTCAATCTTTATTCACTTATTTTTCTTGCCTTATTGTACTTCCTGAGACCTCCAGAATATATTTAATGTAAGTGTTGGTAGCTGGCCTCTTTGACTCATACCCAATTTCAGAGAGAAAGTTTTGAATATTTTATCTTTTCAAGTGATGTATCACATAGGATTTTAATAGATATATTTATCAAATTAAAAGCATTCCATTTTATTGTTAAGTTTGCCAAGATTTTAAAAAATCATTAATGTGCACTAAATTTTCTCAAATACCTTCTCTGTATCTGCTGCAATGATAATGTCACCTCTCACTTTTTCTTGATGATATATAGATTGTCTTCACTGATTTTTTTGAATGCCAAATCATCAGTGTATCTGTGAAATCTCCTGGTCATCATCATGGGATATGTTTTTTACATATAATTGGATTTTTTTAATGTATCTACTTTCATGACACAGTGGTCTGTAATTTTTTTTCCTTGTAATTTCCTTGTCAGTTTTTAGAATCAAAATTACGCTGGCCTCACAAAAAGCAAGGAAGCAGGCGGGGGGCAGTGGCACACGCCTGTAATCCCAGCACTTTGGGAAGTCAAGGCAAGTGGATTACCTGAGGTCAGGAGGTTGAGACCAGCCTGAGCAATATGGTGAAACCCCGCCTGTACTAAAAATACAAAAATTAGATGGGCATGGTGGTGTGCAACTGTAATCCCAGCTACTCGGGAGGCTGAAACAGGAGAATTGCTTGAATCCGGGAGGTGGATGTTGCAGTGAGCCAACATCGCACCACTGCACTCCAGCCTGGGTGACACAGTGAGACTCTGTCTCAAAAAAAAAAAAAAAAAAAAAAGCAAGAAAGCATTCCTTGTAGTATTCTGTTTTATAAAAGAATTGTGAAATATTTGTTTCACAAGAATTTCACAAATTCTTAGAAGAATTTACCTGTGTATTCATTGAATGTGTAATTTTCATCAGGGGAGGGCTGTTTTTTAATGGACAACCTTTTAAATAAACATAAAACTTCAGGTATTTTATTTCTTCTTTCAGCTTTGGTTAGTAGTATTTTTTTAAAATGCATCCATTTCATCATAATTTTCAAAACTTTGATGTCTATAAAATCCATAGTAATGTCCCCCTTTTCATAACTAATGCAAGTAACTGTATTTCTTTTTTTATCATGGTGAAACAGGCAGACAACAGTTAGGGCCCACCTGGATTAACTGATCCAGGATGATCTTATCTCAAAATTCTTAATTAAATCTGTAAAGATCCTTTTTCCAAACAAGGTAACATTTGTTAGGACATGGACATATCTTTTTGGGTGTCACCATCCAGCCCATTATACCTTGGTTTGCAACAGTTTCATGATAATATGCCTACGTATAGTCTTTTTTGGATTTACCATATTTATAGTTTGCTGTGATTTATTTTCAAAGTTTTGGGATATTCTCAGCTGTAATCTCTTCAAATATTCCTTCTTTCCCAACTCTATCTTCTCTCTGGATCTCTAATTAAACATATTTTAGATTCTAAGTATGATTCATATAAAGTAGTGTGCTGGAGCAGCTCATACCAGCTTGTCAGAGCCAATTGTTAAATATTCAGGAATTCTGTGAGATTGTTGTTAAATCATTGGTAGCTTGAAATCATCCATGGTTGACAGTATTTACACCATGACAGTCAGCAAACACTGCAAATTGATACTTTATTTTTCCCAGAGAACTGGATTGTCATCGTACCACTATACCTGTTTGCTATACTCCAGTTTGTTCTTTCGATCCTTTTGTCTTGCCATGCTTCAACTTGGGTATTTTCTCTTGAATTGTCTTCCAGTTCACTTAATCTGTGTTCTGCTGTATCCATAAAACCTATCTATTGAGTTCTTGATTTCAGATATTATACTTTTTAGTTTTATACATCTATTTCATTTCTTAGAGATTCCAATTCTCTGGCAACATTTTCCACCATTTTATCTATGAGTCCACATTTTCCATTATTTTCCAAATATATTAATCACAGTTATTTAAATTTATTGTCTGCAAATTCCAATATCTGGACCACATGTGGCCCGAGCATAACTGTCTGCTTTTTTCTTCATTATACATCCTATTTGTCTTGCCTCAATGTAAATCTAGTAGCTTTTTATTGTATGCTAAGCTCCATGTATTTAAAAAATGATACAAAGCTCCAAGTAATGTTATCTTTCACCAAAGAGTTTCTTCTGTCCTGTACTAGCGTATAGGATGAGTGGTTGGCTGATTACCTCAATCCAATTACGGAGCTGGGTTGGAGCTGAGTTTCAGTGTTAATAAAAGTCAAGTCTACCTCTGGCTCACCTCTTTTCCTCAGGCTCTCATGAGCTTTCTTCTGGAGATCCTGGTGAGCTTCCCATTCTTCAGTTCTAGCAAACTGTAGATCCAGCTCTGCCCTTCCAAGGTCCTCAGCCCACCTTCAGCCTCTTGCCTCCTACATTTTAAAATCTAGCAAATATTTTCAGGAGGAAATCAACTGTATCTTTAAGGAAGGTCCCCTCCCTTGGTGGGTCTTTGTTTCCTAAGTTATCATGAGACTGCAGGGAATTTCACTCTGCCTTTTAGAAGCTTTCAGCTTAGCTCTTCAGCTCCCTCGTAATACCAAAACTTGACTAACGTACTGTGGGGAAAAAACTTTAGATTTTTTTTTAGACATGCATCTAAAGTGCTTCAAGTTTCCTCTTTTCCATTCTAACCCTGAATGACTACTAAAAACTTTATTTCATGTATTTTGGTCTCCGTGAAGTCCCTCTACTTAGATCAAGCAGGATCCTCAATCCATGCCTAGAACAGGCAAAAGCCCCAGAGGGAGGCATTTGTTCATTCACCTACCCTCTCTAGATTCTTCCCCCTCTAGGATTTTAGTATTATAAACTTGCTCTTACAGGTATCTGATACCTTTAAAAACGTATTTGTAATTTATCTGGCCATTGCAATGGAAACATTGGCCTGCTGCAATCTACATACATCTTACCTGTTAGTAGATGTCAATATCCCTAGTAGATTCTAATGAGTAGCCAATCTTAAGCAATACTGACTGCATCTAAGAAACTATTACAAGGTTGAGGTCTAAGTTGAAGTACTTAGGTTCTCTCAGCTTTCCCTCACTGCTACAAGATAAATGGGTCTTCACCTATCATGCCTATCATGTTCCATGCTGGAGAAAGGAGACCGTCCATAGAGCAGAAAAGGCATACCAGCAGTGGATCACTAACTTTTGAAGTATTTGCAGATGTCCTAACCACAAACTTCCATTTGTTTACATCATTGACCCAAACCATATTATTTGTCCACTTCTACCTATAAGGGAGGCTTGGAAATGTAATATTTTAAGCTTGAGTACATTATTGCCCCCATGAAAACTTCATAGCAAAGAAAAAGAGAAAATGGATATTAGGTGGGCAGCTAGCAATCTCTGCCACAGTTCCATTCTTAGCACTTCTTTTAGCTTCTTTCTTATCTGACTAATAAATTCCTCTCTATAATTGCACAAGAGAAAAATTATTTTCTGCTCCAAGTACTTATCAAAAACCCAAAGAACATTATGCCATTTAATATTTGCATGCTAGCAGCATGACTTCCATATCTGTAGTGGTCCTTTATCAATGAGAAGGAAATAATTTTACTGGCAACACATTTCTCTGTCATTCAGCTCTTCTCTCTAATAAGAAAGTTTTTAGTAAATAATTTATTTACTGATCTCTGCCAAACTGCTTTTGAGGACTCTAGCTTTCAAAGAAACTTTAGAAATAAGTTTTAAGCAGAACAGTATTTTAAAATAGCTTCATACTGACTCACATGATAAAAGGACAATGGTTTATTTATTCTAAAAAAGAGATCATAACTTACAGTCTTTCTTAAGTAAAGCATGCAATTAGAGCATATAAAGGTATGATTTATGAGTGACAATGGTTATTTTCTTTTTTTTTTCTTTTTTTTTTTTTTTTTGAGATGGAGTCTTGCTCTGTCTCACAGGCTGGAGTGCAGTGGCGCAATCTCAGCTCACTGCAAGCTCCGCCTACCAGGTTCATGCCATTCTCCTGCCTCAGCCTCCCGAGTAGCTGGGACTACAGGCACCCACCACCATGCCTGGCTAATTTTTTTGTATTTTTAGTAGAGACAGAGTTTCACCGTGTTAGCCAAGATGGTCTCGATCTCCTGACCTCGTGATCTGCCCTGCCTCAGCCTCCCAAAGTGCTGAGATTACAGGCGTGAGCCACTGTGCCTGGCCAACAATGGTTATTTTCCATATCTTTGGTAGAGAGGAGAGACAACATGCTTACATTTTAGTAGGTTGGGTTGGTAATTAGACCACAAAAACAATGAGTGAGTGAAATATATTGCCATGGAAATTAATTGAGTCAACATTAAGTATTTTGAAACAATGAGTAGAAAAATCCTTTTGGAAATGATCTTATTGAGAGGGTGAAGGAAATACTACATGACCATTGTAGTCTTTGAGATTTTATGAATAAAATATAATTATGGCTTAAAGACATCTGATAAATACATATATTGATTATGAAAAGGCCTAATTTCAGATAATAATAAAACCCATGATACCCTCCACGATATCCTGCAAGTAGCAGGGTAGGTGATAGAAAACTGCTAGATATTACTGTTAACATTTTCACAGTAAATAGAAATTCAAAAACCAACTTCTCTTTTTGGACCTTTCAGAATAAACAAAATTAGGAAAACTAGTTGAAGCAAAAAGGGAAAAAAAAAAATCACATACTTGCCACCAATTAAAAAGGTGCTACTTTGTTAACAGTTGCTCACTGTTTCAGGAGAAAATTTTTTACTTCTCAAATTCTGTTTCAGGAGAAAATTTTTTACTTCTCGAATTCTGTTGTCATGGCAATAAAAACTGAGACCTATTTCTTCCCAGTTCTAAAACTCCCATATAGCAATGATTCACTCGAGTATGAGACAACCCTGTAAGAAAAAGCAATGGGTAGGAGGAAGTAACATCTGTTGAGCCCCTACTAGGTGCTAGGCACTTTGCAGCATCTCATTAACATTGGGAAATATATTCCGTTTAAAAGGAGGAAACTGAAGCTCACAATGAAACTTGATCAAGAATACATAAGAAGTGAAGTTGGAATTCAAAAGTTCTGGAATTTAGAACTCATGCTTTACTCCCTTTATCACAGTTCTTCTAGACCAAAACAGTAGATTATGTAATTTTTAACCCCAGGCCCTCAGCAAGAATTTCAGATGTGTTTTTTCCTTACTCTTTTGAAAACTGAAAACAAAAATAAACGAATCTTCAACCAAAAGGGCTTACCACTTTTCCTGGGTGCCTGCATATAGCAATTGCTGGTAATTATACCTATGTCTGAAATAATGTATTACAATATTGTTCTAATTAGAATATTGATATATATTTGAAATACATAAGGGAAGAATGTATAAAGTGATGGGAGTTGAACTGACTAAGCAAGCATACCAAAATAACTACTGATTAAGGATACTTCATGCAGTCTCAAAATTTAACTACTTTAAGATGATTTTTAAAATCGTGTCCTATCTGGACAGCTAAGGATCACATCTTCTGCTGTGCAGGTAACATTCAAGTATCTACATTAAGAGTTTATGTACATGTTTTTTTATTCATTCCTTCTTTGTTTTTTGTTGTTGTTGATGTTTGCTTTGTTTTGGTTTGGGTTTTGGGGTTTTGAATTTTTTTTCCTAAATGAATACAGATATAGAGGCACCTGTGGAATAAAGACAAGAGGAAATTGGGGACAATGATCAGGATGCTGTGCCATTTCTCTCCATGTCTATACTGGAGAATGGGTTCAAATTCTTCCGAGAGCAGTATTAGGGCAAAAGGCTAAAGGAAGTATATTCATGACAGGAGGCTCTGAACACAACATAGCTACTTTTTTGTCCAAGTGATCATGTGCAATACAGAATCACAGAGATTATTTTTCCTTTCCTCTAACACTACTGTGAACATACTTTTGGCCTACAGTAGGTAGAGAACAGAATACCCATATGAGTAGCACCCTCAAAAAAAGCTGTTGGGAGAAATGCTTCTCCCTGGTGGCTTGCAGTTAGGAGGCTTACACAAGAGTGAAAGAACACAGAAGTTTTCATGAGCACATGTGAAACACCAGAATCATAGAGCTTCTATGAAACAACTGGAAAACATTTTTGAGAGGAGGATGAAGTCCTGCAAGACCAGGAAGAGATAAGAGGCAAAATGGGCATAAATGACCATGGCCACAGTACTACTCACATAATTTGTAATTATTTATTCCCATTCTGTGTGTTGTCTTTTCACTTAATACTGTCCCTTCATGCACAAATATTTTTAGTTTTGATGTAGTCCAAATTATCTATTATTTCTTTTGTTGCCTGTGCTTTTGGTGTCATATTTAAGAAAGCATTCCTTAATCCAAGGCCATGAAGATTTAGACCTCTTATCCCTTCTAAAAATTTTATAGTTTTAGCTTTTATATTTAGTTTTTGATCAATTTTGAGCTAATTTTTGTATATAGTGTGAGGTAGGGGTCCAACTTCATTATTTAACATTTGGATATATAGTTGTCCAAGCACCATTTGTTGAAAAGACTATTCTTTTCCCATTGAATAATTGGGCATCCTTCTCAAAAATAAATTGACCATATATATGAGCATATATATAATTTCTGGACTTCTCAATTATATTCCATTGATCTATATGTCCATCATCATGCCAGAGATACATTGTCTTGATTCCTTTAGCTTTATAGTAAGTTTTGGAATCAGTAAGTGTGAGTCTTCCCACTTCATTTTTCTTTTTCAAGATTGTTTTGGCTACTCTGGGCCTTCATGATATCCATATGAATTTGAGAATCAGCTTGTCAATTTCTGCCCAACGAAAACAAAACAGCTGGAATTTTGACAGGGATTGTGCTGAATCTCTAGGTTAATTTGGATTGTCATATTAAAAATATTAAGTCTTTTGATCCACAAACATGGAATGTCTTTCTACTTATTTAGGTATTCTTTAATTTCTTCAGGAAATACAAGTCTTGCACAGGAATAAAAAATAAGAGACTCTAGGAGAATATTCCAAGAAAAGAAAAGTTGCCTAAAAACTTTCAAATTTCCATAAGGTCTGGCTATATTTAGCACGTCTTCCGTGAGATTTCTTTGTTTCCGTACAGTAAGTTCACTATATTTAATTTAGCTTGAGTGGGTTTCTCTTCCTTGCAAGCAAATGATCCTGAGCTAAGGCATTATCTATCAAGATTAACAAATAAGCCTTTTTAAAAATCAGAAACTGTCCCCAAATCAGAGCAGTACTAAACAGCAAAGTTGAGATTTGAACTCAGATCCAGCTAACTACAATATCCATATTTTTCCCACTACCATCTTTTATGACTCCTTTAATTGCTTGCCAATGTATCTTTAAGAGTTAGGTTGTGTCCAGAATTGGTGGGTTCTTGGTCTCACTGACTTCAAGAATGAAGCCGCGGACCCTCGCGGTGAGTGTTACAGTTCTTAAAGATGATGTGTCCGGAGTTTGCTCCTTCTGATGTTCGGACGTGTTCAGACTTTCTTCCTTCTGGTGGGTTTGTGGTCTCGCTGGCTTCAGGAGTGAAGCCGCATACCTTCGTGGTAAGTGTTACAGCTCTTAAGGCAGTGCGTCTGGAGTTGTTCATTCCTCCCGGTTGGTTCGTGGTCTTGCTGGCCTCAGGAATGAGGCTGCAGACCTTTGCGGTGAGTGTTACAGCTCATAAAGGCAGTGCAGACCCAAAGAGTGAGCAGCAGCAAGATTTATTGCAAAGAGCAAAAGAACAAAGCTTCCACAGTGTGGAAGGGGACCCGAGCAGGTTGCCACTGCTGGCAGGGGCAGCCTGCTTTTATTCCCTAGTCTGGCCCCACCCACATCCTGCTGATTGGTCTATTTTACAGAGAGCTGATTGGTCCGTTTTGACCGGGTGCTGATTGGTGCATTTACAATCCCTGAGCTAGACACAAAAGTTCTGTTAAGTCCCCACTAGATTAGCTAGACACAGAGCACTGATTGGTGCATTTACAAACCTTGAGCTAGACACAGCACTGATTGGTGCACTTACAAACCTTGAGCTAGACAGAGTGGTGATTGGTGTGTTTATAAACCTTGAGCTAGACACAGAGTGCTGATTGGTGTATTTACAATCCTTTAGCTAGACATAAAGGTTCTCCAAGTCCCCACCAGATTAGCTAGATACAGAGTGCTGATTGGTGCATTCACAAACCTTGAGCTAGACACAGGGTGCTGATTGGTGGATTTACAATCCTCCAGCTAGACATAAAAGTTCTCCAAGTCCCCACCTGACTCAGGAGCCCAGCCGGCTTTGCCTAGTGGATCCCGCGCCAGGGCCACAGGCAGAGCTGCCTGCCAGTCCTGGGCCGCGCATCTGCACTCCTCAGCCCTTGGGCGATCGATGGGGACTGGATGCCATGGTGCCATGGAGCAGGTGGTGGCGCCCATCGGGGAGGCTCAGGCCGCATGGGAGCCCACCGTGGGGGGGCTCGGGCATGGTGGGCTGCAGGTCCCGATCCCTGCCCTGCGGGAAGGCAGCTGAGGCCCGGTGAAAATTCTAGTGCAGTGCCGGTGGGCCGGCAGTGCTGGGGGCCCGGCGCACGCTCTGCAGTTGCTGGCCCAGGTGCTAAGCCCCTCACTGCCCAGGGCCGGGAGCACCGGCCGGCTGCTCCAAGTGTGGGGCCACTGAGCCCACACCCACCCGGAACTCGCGCTGGCCTGTGAGCACTGCACACAGCCCCGGTTTCCACCCACGCCTCTCCCTCCACACCTCCCACAAGCAGAGGGAGCTGGCTCCCGCCTCAGCCAGTCCGGAGAGGGGCTCCCACAGTGCAGCGGTAGGCTGAAGGGCTCCTCAATCATGGCCAGAGTGGGCACCAAGGCCAAGGAGGCGCCAAGAGTGAGCGAGGGACGCGAGGGCTGCCAGCACGCTGTCACCTCTCAAGGTCATCTAAATATATATGGACCCAACACTGGAGCACCCCGATTCATAAAACAAGCTCTTAGAGACCTGCAAATAGACTTAGATAACCACACAGTAATAGTGGGAGATTTCAACACCACACTGACCATATTAGGCAGATTATCAAGGTAGAAAGCTAACAAAGATATTTGGAACCTAAACTTGACAATTGACCAAATGGACCTAACAGACATCTACAGAACACTCTACCCAACAACAACAGAATATACATTCTCATCTGCATATGGCACATACTCTAAAACTGATGACATATTTGACCATAAAACACTTCTCAACAAATTTAAAAAAATAGAAATAACACCAACTACATTCATGGACCACAGTGCAATAAAAAAAGAAATTAATACCAAAAGGTCTCTCAACCCCATATGATTACGTGGAAATTAAACAATCTGCTCCTGAATGACTTTTGGGTAAACAATAAAATTAATGCAGAAATCAACAAATTCTTTGAAAATAATGACAGTACAGATACAACATAGTGGAATCTCTGGGACACAGTTAAAGCAGTGTTAAGAGGAACGTTTATAGTGTTAAACACCCACATCAAAAAGTTAGAAAGATCTGGGCCAGGCACACGAGATTACATACCTGTAATCCCAGCACTTTGGGAGGCCGAGGCAGGTGGATCACAAGGTCAGGGGATTGAGACTATCCTGTGAATGGTGAAACCCTGTCTCTACTAAAAATACAAAAAATTAGCCGGGCATGGTGGCAGGTGCCTGTAGTCCCAGATACTCAGGAGGCTGAGGTGGGAGAATGGCATGAACCTGGGAGGCGGAGCTTGCAGTGAGCTGAGATCGCACCACTGCACTCCAGCCTGGGCGACAGAGCGAGACTCCGTCTCAAAAAAATAAATAAAATAAACAAAAAAAAAGTTAGAAAGATCTCAAATTAACCTAACATCAGACCTAGAGGAACTAGAAAAACAAGAGCAAACCAATACCAATGCTGGCAAAAGAAAAGAAATAACCAAAATCAAAGGTGAAACGAATGAAATGGAGATGCAAAAAACCATACAAAGGATCAACAAAACCAAAAGATGGTTCTTCAAAAGAATAAGTAAGATAGATATACCACTAGCTAGACAAATAAAGAGAAAAGAGAATCCAAATAGACACAATCAGAAATGACAAAGGGGACATTACCACAGACCTCACACAAATATAAAAATTCCTCAGGAACTACTTTGAACACCTCTGCACACAAACTAGGAAACCTAGAAGAAACAGATAAATTCCTGGCAATATACAACTTCCCAGGATCAAACCAGAAAGAAATTGAAACCTTGAAGACACCAATAATTAGTTCTAAAATTAAATCAATAATAAAAAACCTACCAAGCAGAAAAAATGCTGGACCAGATATAATCACCGCTAAATTCCACCAGAAGTAAAAGAAGATCTGGTACCAATCCTACTGAAACTATTCCAAAAAAACAAAGAGAAGGACTCCTACCTAACTCATTCTATGAAGTTAGCATCATTCTTATACCAAACCTAGCAGAGACACAACAGCAAACAAAAACATTCAAGCCAATATCCCTCATAAACGTAGATGCAAAAATCCTCAGCAAAATACTAGCAAACCAAATCAAGCATCACATCAAAAAGCTAATCCCACTGTAATCAAGTAGGCTTTATTCCTGGGATGCAAGATTGGTTCAACATACACAAATCAATAAATGTGATTCATCACATAAACAGAACTAAAAACAAAACCCAAATGATCATCTCAATAGATGCACAAAAAGCTTTTTATAAAATTCAATTATCTCTTCATGTTAAAAACCCTCAACAAGAATCAATATCGTGAAAATGGCCATACTGCCCAAGGTAATTTATAGATTCAATGCCATCCCCATCAAGCTACCAATGACTTTCTTCACAGAACTGGAAAAAACTACTTTAAAGTTCATATGGAACCTAAAAAGAGCCCTCATTGACAAGTCAATCCTAAGCCAAAAGAACAAAGCTGGAGGCATCACGCTACCTGACTTCAAACTATACTACAAGGCTACAGTAACCAAAACAGCATGGTACTGGTACCAAAACAGAGATATAGATCAATGGAACAGAACAGAGCCCTCAGAAATAATACCACACATCTACAACCATCTGATCTTTGACAAAACTGACAAAAACAAGAAATGGGGAAAGGATTACCTACTTAATAAATGGTGCTGGGAAAACTGGCTAGCCATATGTAGAAAGCTGAAACTGGATCCCTTCCTTACACCTTATACAAACATTAATTCAAGATGAATTAAAGACTTAAATGTTAGACCTAAAACCATAAAAACCCTAGAAGAAAACCTAGGCAATACCATTTAGGACATAGGCATGGGCAAGGACTTCATGTCTAAAACACAAAAAGCAATGGCAACAAAAGCCAAAATTGACAAATGGGATCTAATTAAGCTAAGGAGCTTCTGCACAGCAAAAGAAACTACCATCAGAGTGAACAGGCAACCTACAGAATGGGAGAAAATTTTTGCAATCTACTCATCTGACAAAGGGCTAATATCCAGAATCTACAAAGAACTCAAACAAATTTACAAGAAAAAAACAAACAACCCCATCAAAAAGTGGGCAAAGGATACAAACAGACACTTCTCAAAAGAAGACATTTATGCAGCCAACAGACATACGAAAAAATGCTCATCATCACTGGCCATCAGAGAAATGCAAATCAAAATCACAGTGAGATACCATCTCACACCAGTTAGAATGGCGATCATTAAAAAGTCAGGAAACAACAGGTGCTGGAGAGGATGTGGAGAAATAGGAACACTTTTTTTTTTTACGTTGTTGGTGGGACTGTAAACTAGTTCAACCATTGTGGAAGACAGTGTGGCAGTTCCTCAAGGATCTAGAACTAGAAATACCATTTGACCCAGCGATCCCATTACTGGGTATATACCCAAAGGATTATAAATCAGGCTGCTATAAAGGCACATGCACACGCATGTTTATTGTGGCACTATTCACAATAGCAAAGACTTGGAACCAACCCAAATGTCCACAATGATAGACTGGATTAAGAAAATGTGGCACATATACACCATGGAATACTGTGCAGCCATATAAAAGGATGAGTTCATGTCCTTTGTAGGGACATGGATGAAGCTGGAAATCATCATTCTCAGCAAACTATCATAAGAACAAAAAACCAAACACTGCATGTTCTCACTCATAGGTGGGAATTGAACAACGAGAACACTTGGACACAGGAAGGGGAACATCACACACCAGGGCCTGTTGTGGGGTGGGGGAAGGGGGGAGGGAAAGCATTAGGAGATATACCTAATGTAAATGACGAGTTAATGGGTACAGCACACCAACATGGCACATGTATACATATGTAACAAACCTACACGTTGTGCACATGTACCCTAGAACTTAAAATGAAAGAAAAAAGAAACATCACACTGTACCTCATAAATATGTACAATTATATGTCAATTTAAAATAAAATTTAAAAAGAAAAAAAACCCTCAACAAACCAAGCATCAAAGGAATATACCTCAAAATAAGAGCCATCTATGACAAACCCACAACCAACATCATACTGAATGGGCAAAAGCTGGAAGAATTCCCCCTTAGAACTGGAACAAGACAAGAATGCCTACTCTCAACTCTCCTATTCAACATAGCACTGGAAGTCCTAGCCAGAGCAATCAAGCAAGAAAAAGAAATAAAAGGCAGCCACATAGAAAGGAGAGGAAGTCAAACTATCTCTTTTTACAATGATGTGATTCTATACCTAGAAAACCCCATAGTCTCTGTCCAAAGGCTCCTGGATTTTATAAATAACTTTAGCAAAGTTTGAGGATACAAAATCAATGTACAAAAATCAGTAGCATTTCTATACACCAATAGCGTCCAAGCAGAGAGCCAAATCAAGAATGCAATCTCATTCACGAGAGAATAAAATACCTAGGAAGGCAGCTAACCAGTGAGATGAAAGATCTCTACAACAACAATTACAAAACACAGCTGAAAGAAATCAGCAATGGCACAAACCAATGACAAAACATTCTGTGCTCATGACTAGAAAACATCGATATTATTAATATGGCCATACAGCCCAGAGCAATTTACAGATTTAATACTATTCCTATCAAACTAAGGCATTTTTCATAAAATTAGAAAAAACTATTCTAAAATTCATATGGAACCAAAAAAGAGACTGAATAGCCAAAGTCATGTCAAAGAAAAAGAACAAACCCAGAGGCATCATACTACCTGATGTCAAGTACTATACTACAAGGATACATTAACCAAAACAGCATGGTACTGGTACAAAAACAGAGACCATGACCAATGGTACACCAATACAGCATGGTACTGGTACAAAAACAGAGACCATTACCAATGGGACAGGTTAGAGAACCCATAAATAAAGCCACATACCTACAACTGTCTAATCTTTGACAAAGTCGACAACAAGCAATGGGGAAAGGACTCCCTGTCCAACAAATGGTGCAGGGATAACTGATTAGCCATATGCAGAAGATTGAAGCTGGATGCATTCCTTTCACCATTTACAAAAATCAGCTCAAGATGGATTAAAGATTTATGTGTAAAACCTAAAACTATAAAAACCCTAGAAGAAAATCTAGGAAATACCATTCTGGACATAGGCCCTGGCAAAGATTTCATGATGAAGACTCCAAAAGCAATTGCAACAAAAAGAAAAATTGAAAAATGGGACCTAACAAAACTAAAGAGCTTCTGCAAAGCAAACAAAACTATCAACAGAGCAAACTGACTACCTAAATAATGGGAGAAAATATTCACAAACTATGCATCCTACAATGGTCTAATATCCAGAATCTATAGGGAATTTAAACAAATCAACAAGCAAAAAACAAATAACCCCATTTAAAAATGGGCAAAGGACAGAACAGAAGTGAACGGACATTTCTCAAAAGAAGACATACAAGTGGCCAACACGCACATGAAAAAATGTTTCACATCACTAATCATTAAAGAAATGCAAATCAAAACCACAATGAGACACCATCTCACACCACTCAGAATGACTATTATTAAAAAGTTAAAAAATAGGCCGGGCATGGTAGCTCATGCCTGTAATCCCAGCACTTTGGGAAGCCGAAGTGGGCAGATCACCTGAGGTCAGGAGTTGGAGACCAGCCTGATCAACATGGTGAAATCCTGTCTCTACTAAAAATACAAAAAATTAGCCGGGTGTGGTGGTGGGTGCCTGTAATCCCAGCTACTTGGGAGGCTGAGGCAGGAGAATCACTTGAACCCCAGGAGACGGAGGTTACAGTGAGCTGAAATCACGCCATTGCACTCCAGCCTGTGTGACAGGAGTGAAACTCCGTCTCAAAAAAAAAAAAGTTAAAAAATAACAGATGTTGGTGAAATTGCAGAGAAAAAGGAATGCTTATACTCTGTTGATGGGAATGTAAGTCAGTTCAGCCACTGTGGAAAGCAGTTTGGAGATTTCTCAAAGAGCTTAAAGAGAACTACCATTCAACCCAGCAATCCCATTACTGTGTATATACCCAAAGGAATATAAATCATTCTTTCATAGAGATACGTGTACATGTGTGTTCATTGCAGCACTATTCACAATAGTAAAGACAGGAATCAACCTAGATGCCCATCAATGGTGGGCTGGATAAACAAAATGTGATGCATATATACCATGGAATACTATGCAGCCATAAAAAAGAATGAAGTCATGTCCTTTGCAGCAATATGGATGCAGCTAGAAGTCATTACTCTAAGCAAATTAATTCAGGAACAGAACATCAAATACCGCATGTTCTCTTCTGCAAGTGGGAGCTAAACAGTGAATACATAGGGACACAAAACAGGGAACAAAAGACACCAGGGCCTACCTAAGAGTGGAGGGTATGAGAAGGGTAAGGATCAAAAGACTACCTATCGGGTACTACGCTCACTACCTGGGTAATGAAATAATTTGTACACCAAACCCCAGCAACATGCAATTTACCCATTTAACAAACCTGCACATGTACCACCTTGAACCTAAAATAAAAGTTGGAAGGAAATAAAAAAGGGTTAGGTTAAATTGCAGCCCTACTAAGTAAGTAATTATTTATCTATCAAATTGCACATCTGCCTCCATAGGCAATTTTTCTTAAATCATATTTATAATTTTACATATGACTCTCTAAACTGCTTAGCTGAAACCCCTAGAAGAATTTCCCTTTTATAATTTTTCTATGCTTAGTAATGGAAGCTTTGATTCTTTATACTCTGAGGATTATGGGAAACATTTTTTCTTTATTCTTGAATATGCTTCTATTAATATATTCTGGCATCATACTGGCTTTTAATAATACTACAATTCTATGATCCCTCTCATTTTACTCCAAAAAAATTATGGACATTTGCAAACCACAGCTTTGTACCAATCAATATGACAGTGTGCAAAAAAGTAAAGACTATCCATACAATTTCAGCCGACAGATTTTCTTCTCTTATTTCTTAATAACAGTGGGAAGTCTTCTGCAAGAACAAGTAACACTGAAGAGACAAAGCCCAGAGAGGAGGGGCAGAAGCCTGAGATGGTGTATTTTTAGTCATTTTGATTAAATTATGGAGATGTGAAGTTGATAATTTATTGAAGGGGAACAGGGAAGTCTATGTAAATGTTTGCAGATGAATAATTAATGTGACTTTCCTACATAACTAGGCCTTTAATTAAAGCCACTGTGAAACAAAGAAAGAACCAAAGAGCACAATTATTATAGCAGCTAATTGTAACTTTCTTATCCTAAGTACTATTTGAAAGTCCATGCTTAATTTGCATCTTTAAAGGAAGATAGCTCAGACCTAGGGTGACAGTTGCTTTTTATCCCAGTTTAACTAATTCCCCACAAATCAAAAAATCTATTAATATATTAATGAATTTCCTCCTACTAAAATTTTACCCAAAAAGTTTCAGGGTTTATTTATTGTTTTTTTTTCAATGTATTAATTTTCATTTTAGGGAAATATATTGGTACCTCTCAGTAACTTAGAAAGTAAAATGAATACTCAATGTTTTTAAATACTAATTGTGTAATGTGTTGTTTCACATGTTATTTACAACAGCTGATTGAGCATTTGACTGTCTAGTGAGTATTTTTCATGTCTTTCATATTTTATTCTTTACTATCTCCTTCTTACTTTTCATCCTCATAGTCCCATTTTTCGTCTGTTTCTCTTTTGCTCATTTTTATTCTCCTATTTCTGTCTTTCACTTCTATTTTTGTCTCTATCTTTCCATCTGCCTTGCTTCTCCTCATAATCTTATCCTTTACTTCTTTTCCCTCTACTTTTTATTGCTTCTTGTTCCAGATATCCTTTTTCCCATTCTATTTCTTTGTGCTCTACTCGATCATTGTCATAACCATAATACCTAGGTGAATACTGAATCCACAAGGGCAGCGTGGGTCCCTACCAGTTCCAAAGGTGACACTCCTTTGGTACAGTATTTTATATACACTAAGTATGGACTAAATATATATAAAGAACTGTCCCATGTCCTACAGTTCTTTTAAAAAGCGTTTCTTTTCTAACATATGCTGGATTTGTATTTAGAAATTCTAGTCCTGGTTTTCAACACTTACAAATTGTATGCCCTTTGGCACATTACTTTACCACAGGGAGCCTCAATTTCCTTACTTATAAAATGAGAGTTGTTTTGGATTTCTAAAGACCCTTTCAGTTTTATGATGCTGTTACTTACTCACACCTCCTTGTGAATGGTAGGTAGGAAGATTTAAATCTTATTCCTTACATGGGTATTTGCTTGTCCAAATAAATCTATGTCTGGTGGAAATTTATGAAATATATTTAGGGACAAGAAACCTCCTTTGGTACAAGAAACACTTCTTGGCCTGTGAAGCCAAGGTAAGCACTGAGAATGACGAATAGAGAAAAAAGGGAATTTGAGGCACAGTACCCAGACAACCTGAAATTTAGGAAACTCCAATGTGAGAAATTATAAAGCCTGACCTTCTAATCCCTCCTACATTCATGGTCCTGAGATCCTCAGATAGAGAAACTTCCTACTTCATTCAGTTTGCCTATAGTTAGCTCCAACCCTGAAATCTGACTATGTAAACTCCTCCCACTTGTAATTATTTATATTCACTTTCTTTATTCAGACCTCCTGTTAATTGAAATTTAATGGCTTACCAAAAAGTAAAATCAATACAATAAGTTATAAAATTTAATAGGTAAGAAAAAATGGCAACATAAAAGTAAGATAAAATGTGAGCTTAGGACATATACTTCATGCCATAATATCCTCCACACTTAACTACAGATTGGCCAGAAATCTGGCTCTGAGCTTCCTGGCAGGCAATGCAAAGAGGAATATGATCAGTTATAAGATACAGAGTCTCCAAAAGGTAAACAAAACAATAGTTTATAAGCAGCAGAACTATTACAGGTTCTAAGAACAGAGAAAAATCTTCCATGAGTATTCATACAGAAAATAATATATAATGAATTAAATCCTATCCTCAATAACATCCTTACAATCAATACAATAACATGTTTTATGGGTTACGTTTATACTATTCTTCCACAGATAAATTATGACAAAGTTCAATATTTATCTTTAAATTTCATAAAGTTCAATAGCAATCATACTCATCACTTAGTATGTCAGATTAATGTCACTGTAAGTTTCATTGGGTGCAATATAAAATTCAGTTTGTATTTAGTGTTTAGTGTTTGTATGTTCAAACATTTATAACAACAAAAAATTAAACTTTACTGAAATCTTAAGGGAAGAATCTAGGAGGTATGATAAACTTCCTCTGAAAACATCAACTTAGCATGCTTCTATGACCAAATCTACATAAAAGTAGGGTTTTCAAATATAAAACAAACAAAAAATGTTATTTTGTCTCAAGGGAGTATAAAAAGAAAAATATCAGTAAAGATTATACAGACTTAAAATCAATTGTCAGGGTTATGTTTTAGGACAAAACTGTAATGAAGAAGGCTAAATTGACCAGTTAAATTCAAGTATAGCACCATAAGCTGTGGGTTCTTTCACTGATTGCCCCAGATAATTACCTTCATAGACTAATTCCTTTTTTTTCTTTTTCTTTTTCTTTTTTCTTTTTTTTTTTTTTTTGGTGTGGGGGACAGCATCTCAATCCTGTTGCCCAGGGTGGAGTGCAGTGGCATGATCTTGCTGCGGCCTCGACTTCGTGGGCTCAGCCCACCTCAGCCTCACGAGGAGCTGGGACTACAGGAACAAGCCACCATGCCCAGCTATTTTAATGCATTTTTAGTAGCAATAGGGTTTTGCCATGTTACCCAGGGCTCAAGTAATCCTCCCGCCTCGGCCTCCCAGAGTGCTGGGATTACAAGCATGGGCCACTGCACCTGGTAAGACTATTTCTATGTAGTAGTTTATTCCCACCTCCTTTCCTATCCCTCCTGGGAATAACTGACCTAATTGATCTATAGAACAAACACTCTTACCACAAAGATCACACACACACACACACACACACACACACACAAACACACACACACACACATAGAGTCATGTACCACATAATGATGTTTCAGATAACAGACCTCATATATGATAGTGGTCCTATAAGATATAATAGAATTCAAAAATTCTTATCACCTAGAGACATGTAGCCATTGTAACATCTTAGTGGAACACATTATTCACCAGTTTGTGTAAACAAACCTACTGCTCTGCTAGTCATATAAAAGTATAGCACATACAATTATGTGCAGTACACAGTATTTGCTAATGATAAACTACTAAGGTAATTGTTTATGTATTTATCATACTATGTTTTTGATCATTCTTTTAGAGTATACTCCTTCTATTTATTTTTTTTAAAAATTTAATGTAAATAGCCTCAGACAGGCCTTTCAGGAGCTATTCTGGAAGAAGGCATTGTTATCACAGGAGATGACAGCTCCCTGTGTGTTATTGCCCAAGGACCTTCCAGTGAGACAAAATATGGAGATGGAAGACAGTGATACTGATGATCCTGACCCTGTGTAGGCCTAGGCTAATGTGTGTGTCTGTGTCTTAGTTTTTAACAAAAAAGTTTTAAAAGTATAAAAATAGAGGAGGGGGCAAGATGGACAACTAGATACAGCCAGGAAGTGCTGCTCCTACAGAGAAAGACAAGGATTTTGTCTAAACCAATGTAATTTGAACAGATCTTTGGAGAGAACACACCAAATGTGGAAGGTGAAAAGGCACAGACACTGAGGCTGAAGGCAAGGAAGCTGGGAAGCTGGGAATCTCGTGTGGGGTGCCTAAATGCTAGGGCTGGTTTCCTGCCTCCAACTGCACTTAGGGAAAGGGTGAGTGAAGAGGATGGAGGACATCCCACTTGCACCATAGACCTCTGGGATCCTAGCTGCAGGAGACCCCACATCCCCCATAGATGCTTGAGCTAGCAGGGGCATTTCCCCAGAGATTAGACAGAAATGGATCTGCAGCAAGCATGTGTGGGGTAGTTCCAGTGGAGCCCAGCCATAAGCACCCACCCCCACTGCAGGCTGCCCATCTCCCTCTAATCTCCCAGCTAATCACCAGGAAGAAAGCAAGGCTTTCTTCTACATGGGACTGGGGCACATCTGCCCTGCAGTCTTGCCTGCCAGCCAACCCTTCCAGGGCTCCTGTCTGGCTGCCCTGCAGAAGCGTGCATACAGTGCAGGCTCTACTGCCCAACCTGGGTCTCTTGCTTCATCTGAGTGCATTCTGGCAGTTTGTAAGCCCTTCATATCTCTCAGTGCACCCAGAACCCAGTCCTGAGGACCTGGAGGAGGGAGCCACGAGCAGGTCCTGGTGTTCCAGGGTTGTGGCCAGTGGCTCCAGACTGCCAAGACAGGATCTGTGCCCGGCACTTGAGCTGGGGAGGAGCCCACATTCTCAGAAAGCTGAGAGGGCTGAGTCACACAGGTTCACAGGCTGGTGTGGAACCTAGGTATGCCTCCTTCCACAGGGCTTGTCCAATAAGGGTGTGGCCTATCTCCCTACTGGACCTCTTCTGGAGGGAGCCTCAACGCCCAAAAGACCTAATAACAACAATAAAATTGTGGGCACATTGCCAATGATGGGAGGTGGCTCCCCCAAGGCTCAAGAGTGGAGCTGGTGAGGTCACCTCTCTCCCCCTCATACCATAGAACACAGGTGCAAATGTGAGGATACACAAAGGAGATGCATGGCTGAGTAACAACCTGTCGCCCATTGTCTCAAGCATCACCTACTGGATTGTAGCCCAAACTACAATGTCAAAAAACTAATTCTCCCACCTGCGAAACTAAGACCAAGCACTTAACAAAGACCCTGTACAAAGCTTTAGCCCTCTGAAAACTTCCATAAATGAAGCCAACCGACTGTGTACTCAAATTTACACCACAGTTAAGAAATAAAAATCATCCCAGTGAGATAGAATCAGTGCAAGAAATCTGGCAATTCAAAAAGCCAGAGTGTCCCCTTACCTCCAAATGAGCCCACTAGGTCCCCAGCAATGGTTCTTAACCAATCTGAAATGTCTGAAGTAACAGAGATAGGATTCAGAATCTGAATGGCAAGGAAGCTCATCAACATCCAGGTGAAAGTTGAAACTCAATCCAAGGAAGCCAAACAATCCAATAAAAATGATTCAAGAGCTGAAAGATGAAATAGCCATTTTAAGAAAAACCCAAACTGAACTTCTTGAGCTGAAGACTTCATTAAAAGAATGTAATAATACAATCAGAAGTGTTAACAGCAGAACAGAGCAAGCTAAGGAAAAGATCTCAGAGCTTGAAGACCAGTTCTGTTAATGGTGGATGGTGTCCAGGTTCTTGGCATCTTGAAAAAAGAATCAGACAAAATGCACAAACAAAGCAAGGAATGAATGAAGGGTTTTATTGAAAATGAAAGTAAACTCCATAGTGTGGGAGTTGGCCTGAGCAAAGCGGCTCTAAGGCCCTGTTACAGAGTTTTTGTGAGTTTCAATACCCTCTACTTGGGACACACTATGTAAATGAAAAGGATGAAGTGAAGTTACAGTTACAAAGTCATTTATGGCATATGCACTATGGAGAGGATATTTCCTGTTACAGCTGAAGTGTGAATCGGCCTTATGTTCCCTGCCTCTGGACCCTATTTTCCTGCCTCAGTTCTTCAAATCAACTCAGTCGGACAAAAATAAAGAACTTTAAAAACATGAACAACATCTCTGAGAAACAAGGGATTATGTAAAGAGACCAAATATATGACTCACTGACATTCTTAAGAGAGAAGGAGAGAAAATAAGTAACTTGGAAAACATATTTGAGGATTCAATCCATGGAAATTTCTCTAATCTTGCTAGGCAGGTTGACATGCAAATACAAGAAATACAGAAAAACGTGGCCAGACACTACACAAGTCACCATCCCCAAGGAACAGTGTCATCAGATTCAGCAAGGTCAACACAAAAGAAAAAGTCCAAGTTGGAGGGGGAGGAAAAAAAAAAATCTTAAAGGTAGCTAAAGAGAAAGGTCAGGACACCTACAAGGGGAACCCCATCAGATTAGCAGCAGACCTCTCAGCAGGAACTTATAAGCCAGAAGAGATGGGGGCCTATTTTCAGCACTCTTAAAGAAAACAAATTCCATCCAAGAATTTCATATCCCACCAAACTAAACTTCATGAGTGAAGGAGAAATAAAATTCTGCCAGGACAAGCAAAGGTTGAGGGAATATGTTTCAATAAGCCTTACAAGAAGTCCTTAAGGGAGTGCTAAACATGGAATCCAACACCTGCTACCACAAAAGCACACTTAAGCACATAGCCCACAGGTACTATAAAGCAACTACTTAATCAAGTCTACATAACAACCAGCTAACAATATGATGACAGGATCAAAACCACACATAGCAATACTAACCTTGAACATAAATGGGCCAAAAGCCCCACTTAAAGGACAAAAGTGGCAGACTGAATAAAAAGACAAGACTCAACTATCTGTTGTCTTCAAGAGACCTATCTCACATGTAATGACACCCACAGGCTCAAAGTAAAAGGGTGGAGTAAGATCTAACATGGAAACGGAAAGTAAAAAAGAGCAGGAGTTGCTATTCTTATATCAGATAAAACAGACTTTAAAGCAATAAAAATTAAGAAGGACAATGTGGAAAATAGTGTGGAGATTCCTTACAGAACTAAAAGTAGATCTACCATTTGATCCAGCAATCCCACTAGTAGGTATCTACCCAGAGGAAAAGAAGTCATTATATGAAAAAGATACTTGCACATGCACGTTTACAGCAGCACAATCTGCAATTGCAAAAATACGGAACTAGCCCAAATGCCCACCAATTAATCAACAAGTGAATAAAGAAAATGTTATACACACACACACACACACACACACACACATACACACACACACACACACACCATAGAATACTACTAACCCATAAAAAGGAATGAAATAATGACATACACAGCAACCTGGATGGAATTGGAGACGATTATTTTAAGTGAAGTAACTCAGGAATGGAAAACCAAACATCATATGTTCTCACTCATCTGTGGGAGCTAAGCTATGAGGACGCAAATGTGTAAGAATGATACCCTGGACTTTGGGGACTTGGGGGAAAGGGTGGGGGATGGCAGGGGATAAAAGACTACACATTGGGTACAGTGTACACTGCTTGGGTGATGGGTGTACCAAAATCTCAGAAATCACCACTACACAACTTATTTATGTAACCAAATGCCACCTGTTCCCCAAAAACCTATTGAAATAAAAATTAAAATTTTTTTTAATAATAAATAAGGAAAAAAATTAAGAAGGACAATGAAGGGCATTACATAATGATAAAGGGTACAATCTGACAAGATGCCTTAACTATGCTAAATATATACCCACCCAACATTGGAGCACCAAGATTCATAAAACAAGTTCTTCTTGGCATACAAAAGACTTAGGCAACTATACAATAATCGTGGGAGACTGCCACACCCCACTGACAATGTTAGATGAATCACTGAGACAGAAAATTAACAAACTCTGGACTTAAACTTGACACTTGATCAACTGGACCTAATAGACATTTACAGAATACTCCACCCAACAACCACAGAATATACATTTTTCTCATCTGCACATGGAACATATTCTAAGATTGACACATGCTCAGTCATAAAGCAAGTCTCAAAAAATTCAAAAAAATTAAAATCATACCAGGAACACTCTGTGGACCACGGTGAAAAAAAAAAACAGAAATCAATATCAAGAAGATCTCTCAAAACTACACAAATACATGGAAATTAAACAACTTACTTCTAAATAACTCCTGAGTGAACATTGAAATTAAGGCAGACATTTTTAAATTCCTTGAAATTAATGATAATAGACACACAGCTTATCAAAATCTCTGGGATGCAGCTAAAGTAATGTTAAGAGGAAAGTTTTATAGCCCTAAACACCTTCATCAAGAAGTTAGAAAGATCTCATATTAACAATCTAACTTTGTGCCTAAAGGCACTACAAAAAAACAAAAAGAGAGAAAAATGAAACAGGACAAACCAACTCCAAAGCTAGTAGAAGAAAAGAAGAAAAAACTAAAATTTGAGAACTTAATGAAACTGACATGCAAAAATCCATACAAAAGATCAATGGAACAAAAAGTTGGTTCTTCAAAAAATAAATATGATTGATAGACTGCTAGCTAGATTAACAAAGAAAAAGAGAAAATCCAAATAAACACAATCAGAAACAGCAAAGACAGTATTACAACTGATCCCACAGAAATACAAAAGATCCTCAGAGACTCCTATGAACAACTCTAGGCACACAAATTAGAAAATTTAGAGGAAATGGATAAATTCCTGGAAGCACATAAACTCCCAAGATTGAATCAGGAAGAGACTGAAACCATGAATAGACCAATAACAACTTCTAAAATTGCATCAATAATAAGGAACCTACCAACCATAAAAAGTCCTAGACCGGATGGATTCTACTGACATACAAAGAATAACTGATACGAATTCTGCTGAAACTATTCAAAAAAATCGAGGAGTAGGAGCTCTCCTGACTAACTCTATGAAGCCAGCATCAGCTTGATACAAAAATCTGGCAGAGGCATAATAAAAAGAGAAAACTTCATACCAATATCCCTCATTAACATAGATGCAAAAATCCTCAACAAAATATTAGCATACTAAATCCTACAGCACATCAAAAAGTTAATACACGACAATCAAGTAGGCTTTATTCCTGGGATAGAAGGCTGGTTCAACATACACAAACCAAAAAATGTTTCACCACATAAACAGGATCAAAAACAAAAACCATATGATTATCACAATAGACACAGAAAAGCTTTCCAATAAAATACAATATTCCTTCATGATAAAAAACCCTCAACAGATGAGGCACCAAAGAAACATACCTCAAAAAAACAAGACCTATCTATGACAAACCCACAGCCAACATTATACTGAATGGGCAAAAGCTAGAAGCATTCTCCTTTAGAATTGGAACAAGACGAGGATGCCCACTCTCACCACTCCTATACAATATAGTACTGGAAGTCCTAGCCAGAGCAATCAAACAGGAGAAAGAAATAAAAGGCATCAAAAGAGGAGACAAAGTCAAACTATCTCTCTTTGCTAATGATATAATTCTATACCTGGAAAACACTGAAGACTACCAAAAGGCTTCCAGGCTGATAAGCTAAGTCAGTAAAGCTTCAAGACACAAAATCAGGCTGGGCACAATGGCTCACACCTGTAATCTCAGCACTTTGGGAGGCCAAGGCAGGCAGATCAGCTGAGATTGAGAGTTCGAGACCAGCCCGGCCAACATGGCAAAACCCCATCTCTACTAAAAATACAAAAATTAGCCAGACTGGGTGGCACTTGCCTGTAGTCCCAGCTACTCAGGAGGCTGAGGCAGGAGAATCACTTGAACCTGGGAGGCAGAGGTTACAGTGAGCTGGTATCATGCCACTGCACTCCAGCCTGGGCAACAGAGCCACAATCAGTCTTAAAAACAAACAAACCAAAAAACAAAAAAGATACAAAGTCAATATACAAAAATCAGTAGCATTTCTATATACTGACAGTCTCCAGGGTGAGAGTGAAATAAAAAACACAATCCCATTTATAATAGCCACAAAGAAAATGAAATACCTAGGAATATAGCTAACCAAGGAAGTGAAAGGAAAACTACAAATCACTGCTGAAAGAAATCAGAGATGATACAAATAAATGGAAAAACATCCCATGCTCATGCATTGGAAAAATCAACATTGTAAACATGGCCATATTGCCAAAGCAATTTACAGATTTGAAGCTATTCCTATCAAACTACCAACATCATCCTTCACAGAATTAGAAAAACTATTCTAAAATTCATATGGAACAATAACAAAAAGCCCATATAGCCAAAGCAGTCCTAAGCAAAAAGAACAAAGTTAAGGCATCACACTACCTGACTTCAAACTGCCCTATAAAGCCACAGTAACCAAAACAACTTGGTATTGGTACAAAAACAGACACATAGACTAATGGAACAGAATTTAAAAACTCAGAAATAAAGCCACACACCTCCAACCATCTAATCTTTGACAAGGTCGACAAAAACAAGCAATGGGAAAAGGATACTCTATTCAATAAATTGTGATAGAATAACTAGCTAGCCATATGCAGAAGATTAAAGCTTGATGGCTACCTTTCACCATATACAAAAATTAATTCAAAATGGATCAAAGATTTAAATGTAAGTCCTCAAACTATAGAAATCCTGGAAGACAACCTAGAAAATAGATTCTTGACATCAGCCTTGGCAAGGAATTTTTGGCTAAGTTCCCAAAAGCAACTATAAAAACAAAAACAAAAATTGACAAGCGGGACCTAATTAATGAGCTTCTGCACCAACAAAGTAAACAGATGGCCTACAGAATGGGAGAAAATATTTGCAAACTCTGCATCTGACAAAGGTCTAATATCCAGAATCTACAAGGAACTTAAGGAAAAAACAAATAACCCTATTTAAAAACGTGCAAAGGACATGAATAGACACTTCTCAAAAGAAGACAAACAAGTGGCCAAAAAACATGAAAAAATGCTCAGCATCACTAGTCATCAGAGAAATGACAATCAAAACCACAATGAGATGCCATCTCACACCAGTCAGATGACTATTATTAAAAAGTCAAAAAACACCAGATTCTGGCTAGGCTGAAGAGAGAAGGGAACACTTCTACTTTGTTGATAGGAATGTAAATTAGTTCAGCTTCTGTGGAAAGCAGTCTGGAGACTTCTCAAAGAACTTAAAAGAGGACTACCATTTGACCCAGCAATCCTATTACTGTGTATATACCCAAAAGAAAACAGATACTTCTGCCAAAAAGACATATTCATTTGTATTGTTTATTGCTGTGCTATTCGAAATTGCAAAGACATAGAATCAACCCAGGTGCCCATCTATGGTAGATTGGATTAAACAAATGTGATACATATACACCATGGAATACCACACAGCCATAAAAAAGAATGAAATAATATCCTTTGCAGCAACATAGATGGAGCTGGAGGCCATATCCTAAGCAAATTAATGGAGGAACAGAAAAACTAAATACTGCATGTTCTCACTTATAACTGGGAGCTAAACACTGAGCACACATGGACATAAATATGGGAAGAGACACTGAAGACTACTAGGGAAGAAGTGAGTGGGAGCATGGGTTGCAAAACCTCCTATCAGATACTGTGCTCATTACCTGGGTGATAGGATCCATATTCCAAACCTCAGCATCACACACCATTCCCATGTAACAAACCTGCAAATGTGCCCCCTGTATGTAAAATAAATATTGAATTTTTTTTTAAATAGGAAAATAAAAATAAAAAATTTAAAAATAGAAAAAAACTTACAGAGTAATAATATAAACAAAGAAAATGTTTTTGTATAACTATACAATGTGTGTTTTGTTTTTTGGTTTTTGGTTTTTTTGGGGGGGGGGGGTTGGTGGTTTTTTCTTTTGTTTTTGAGGCACAGTCTCACCCTGTCACTCAGATTGCAGTGCAGTGGTGCAATCTCGGCTCACTGAAACCTCCGCCTCCTGGGTTCAAGCAATTTTCATGCCTCAGACTCCTAAGTATGTGGGATTACAGGTCTGTGCCACCACGCCCTGTGTTCGCGCTTGAAGCTAAGTGATATGAAGGAATAAAAAAGTTAAAATTAAAAAGTTTCTGAAGTAAAAATATTATAGTAAGCTAAGATTAAACAAAGTTAAAATAAAGAAAAAATTTTTAATAAATTTAGTGTAGCCTAAGTGGTATACAGTGTTTCTTTCTTTCTTTTTTTTGTTTTTTAGATGGAGTCTCGCTCTGTTGACCAGGCTGAGTGCAGTGGCGCAATTTTGGCTCACTGCAACCTCAGCCTCCCAGGTTCAAGAGATTCTCCTGTCTCCCAAGTAGCTGGGATTCCAGGCATGTGGCACCATGCCTGGCTAATGTTTGTACTTTTAGTAGAGACGTGGTTTCGCCATGTTGGTCATGCTGGTCTTGAACTCCTGACCTCAGGTGATCCACTCCTCTCAGCCTCCCAAAGTGCGGGGATTACAGGAATGAGCTACTGTGCCCAGCCGTGTACAGTGTTTCTAAAGTCTACAGTAGTGTATAGTAATGTCCTAGGCCTTCACTTTCGCTCACTACTGATTCACTAACTTACCCAGAGCAACTTCTAGTCCTGCAAGCTCCATTCATGTTAAGTGCCCTATACAGATATACCATTTTTTTCATCTTTATACCATATTTTTGTTGTACTTTTTCTATGTTTGGATACACTAATACTTACCATTCTGATACAATTGCCTACAGTACTCAGTACAGTAACATGCTATACAAGTTTGTAGCATAGGAGCAATAGGCTAGGTGTTTAGTAGGGCTATACCATCTAGGTTTGTGTGAGCATATGGCCTAGGTGTATGGTAGACTATCCCATCGAGGTTTGTGTCAGTACACTGTATGATGTTTGCACAATGACAAAATTATCTAACAATGCATTTTTCAGGGAGTACCCCTGTCATTAAGTAACACATGATTGTATATTAAGATATCAACACACACAAAAAAATAAACACAAAGGTATATTTAAAGTGTGAATAACAGAAAATGCCCTATCGAACAATGCACACCCTGTGTTAACTCACAGAAGACACTAAAGATTGCTGAGCTACGTCCGCCTTCAACACTTCTGTATTTTACCTTCAATCATTAGCACTGTACTTTTTTGGACACTTCCCAGGGATTACACTGCATCAGCTTCATATCAATGGAATGAGCTCTGACCCAAACACACTACCATGGAGAACTCCCCGAAGAAGCTGCTGGCCATTTACACACATGGGCTTCTGAGACCCGTTTTTTTTTTTTTAAACCTGACCGTTAAACTTACTCTGGTTGAAAACACTTCTTAGGAAAAATTTATGTCAGTAAATGCCTGTACCCAGCCACATTTTAGGACGACAAATCTTTAATAACCACGAGGTATCTTCAACGTCAATACCGAAAGCAAAGTATTGTCCTCCACATTAATTTGGGGCTCAGCAGCAGTTTACTTCCCTCTACCTTCCAGAAAGTTCACTAGATATTTTCATAAAGCTTTGACAGTCAAAAAGCTCAGTTCCTTTTCTTCATCAGAGGTTGTTTCAGGGATCTGACATCATCAGAGGTAAAGACAGGTCCCTAATGCCAGTAAACCATTTGCCTTTGAGCTTTCTCAGTGTAGGGTCTATGGTTTATTCAACTCTCTGACTCTTGTACCCAACTCATACTGTGGCACAGATAGTAGACCCAAAAGAAGGCTTAACTTGAAGTGAATATATGGATAATTTATCATGAGAAATAGAATATCCAAGAGTATTTACACATCTCAGCTAATCAACATGAGCACTTCTAAGGGAGAAATCCAATTAAGATCAGAAGATAGCCTAGATACAATCAGAAAATATGATCTTAAGAGATTTTAAGAGACATTTTCGTAAAGGTGCAGAATCTCGGTAAATCACCTCATGAGGTATAACATGTAGCAGGAATATATTGGCCGAGCTAATGATATTAATAGTTACAGTTGATAAAAATTTTAATATGGGTCCCAGGAAGATGAAGGAGTGGAAATATACCTTTTCCATTTTTTCAAGTCCCCACATAAAATGGAAAGAAGGACTACATAGCGAAGTAAAAAAAAAAAAAAAAAAAAAAAAAAAAGTTGTTGTTCAATTAGTAAATAAATATTACTCATTTTTTGGTTGTTGTACCAAAAAATGAGTAATATTCATTTACTAATTGAACAACAAGGTACTCCTATAAACCACAACATACACATGGGTAGTGGTGAACCACTAACAGCCAGAAAACCTGTATGGTATTAGCATTTCTTTGGTAGGAAAGATAACAAGCAATTAGGCACCTTCTGACAGATGTAACAACAGAATCCTTTTATCAGTTCATGTCTTCCAGGAAGGAAATCCTGAAAAAAGAGCTAGGAGTGCTACAGAAGGGTGGAACAAAGAGAGAAACTGCTGTGAGTGCAACCAAAATTGAAAAGAATAGGAAAAAAGGAACAAGAATATCTACACCAAAGTAGGGTAGGTGAACAAAGCCAGAAAATCCCAGAGAGCAACTCTATTTTTTTTTTTTTTTTTTAGACTGAGTTTCACTCTTGTCGCCCAGGCTGGAGTACAATGGCACAATCTCGGTTCACTGCAACCTCCGCCTCCCAGGTTCAAGCCATTCTCCTGCCTCAGCCTGCCGAGTAGCTGGGATTACAGGCTCCTGCCACCACACCCAGCTAATTTTTGTATTTTTAGTAGAGATGAGCTTTCACCACATTGGCCAGGCTGGTCTCGAACACCTGACCTCAGATGATCCAGCCGCCTCGGCCTCCCAAAGTGCTGGGATTACAGACGTGAGCCACCGAGCCTGGACAAGTCTCTATATTTTTAACACCACATAAAGGAAGGAGTTCTGTAATATTATGAAAAACTTTCCTGAAACCCACCCTATTCCAAAAGTTCAGGAAAAGTAATTTCACATTGAAAAATGAGCTAAAGAAAAGTATCAAAGTAAAAACTCAAACAAAGTTGGTATTTGAAAAATGACAATAAGAAGCTGAATCTAATACATACACACTTGGGATGGTTCATGCTCGTATCTGAGAATGTATAATCTTTGTTTTTGTTAATACCCTCTCCACACTAATAACCATAGACTATAAAAAATCTTGCACAAAGAGAATATACACAATATTTCCAAGAATTGAACAATGAACCAAGCAGACATACAAGGGTCAGAATTAACAAGAGAGCTAAAATATTCACAGGGTGGCCTTGCCTGACTCTGTTACTTGACATGGTACAGGTGACCTTATTGTCAGCCTAAAAATCCACATTCACTCTTCAAGTCTTAGCTAAAATATCAGTTTACTTTCCCAAGGCAGAGTACAGTCAGGGATTATGAAGGGTCTAGGATTTTACTCTACTTACAAGCTAACAAATTAACCTATTACTGTTCATGGATCCTGGCAGAAGACATGAGATTCCTAGATAGGGACCAAGGACTTCATTACTTACAGCAAAAGTAGTAGCCAAAGCTTCATGTTCATGCCAGTTCCTCACATCCTCCAAGTCTCACAGAAAAAAACAACATTGAGTTAGAGACCATGGCCTACACATGCAGTAGGTTGCTTTACAGGAGAGAAACACTAAACTTGGAGATTCAGCACTTTCACAGTTAGCAAGCCTATTCTTTGGGGGAAGAAGTTACCTAAACCCTCAAGGTTGCATACTGCAAACCCAACCCTGAGAATGGCTTAGGTAGAGATAAATCAGAAGCTTTCATTCTTGGTATACCCAGAAGGAGTATATGGGGATACTCAGGGCCCATGGAAGATTGCATCTTATAAACTTCTTTATTTTTTACTTAGCTTATATCATGTTCTAACTATCCACTTGCATGTCCTTCTTTTCAAGTATACTTAGAATTCCTTAAGGATGAAAACTGTTTTATTTATTTATTTATTTATTTATATTTAACTCCAGCAACTACCTAGCACAGTGTTTAGTACTTAGTAGAAACTCTAAGAAAACAATGGATGTATTGAGTAAACTCTATCATGGTTACAGTGACTTGGCTTTCAAGCACTCTTCTTGATGGGAGGGTACCTACTGGTGGGCATACTCACCCTCAAGTCTTTATTAACTGGTCTACCCCTTATGGCCCAGGCTTTTGGACATACATGTGGAAGTGGGAAACATGGCTCTGACTTCAAGTAGAATATATATATACACACACACATATACATACATATATATAATGCACACACATATATACATGTGTATATATACACACATATACAGCCATATACATATATATGGTTATAAATTCTTAAAATGAAATGCAATCTATATTAATAATAATACAGTCCAGAAATGCCGAGGAATCTTCAAATGGAGAAAAGCAACTGAACTACACTACTTCATCCTGTCTGAGACTCTTTCCACTCCTCTGAATCTTCTTGCAGATTACTAATGCCTTCATCATATTTGCCTCTAGGTTGTGAAGTTGTGCTACTTTGTATTTAACTCTCTACCCGATGCTGTGAAAGTGCACCTTTTCTTTATGTCCAGTGGCACAGTGGGAAAAGACTAGAAATTCAAACATGACTTTACTAAATGCCAAGGCGTATCAAAGGGGAAACAAACAATAACACAGACCTTTATTGGCTTATACAAATAGTAACTTTCTCTCTCTTGCAGGCCCAATTTCATCTTTTAGAGCCTTAGGCAAAAAGGGTGGCCAAGAGTTTCTAGCTTTTAAGACACTGAGCTCTACTTCTTGTAATGCATACCATCCCTTCTTCTGGACTAGAAGTTCCCATGTTTGTAAGAAAAAATTTTGTTATAACGGCTCTTTCTCATACTTTTGGTACCAAGTTTTTCTCATGCTGCCATCTTGATTATTCTTCCACATCTCTCTTCTACTTTTAAGATTTATTACACTGGATCCACCTAGATAATCCAGGATAATCTCCTATTTTAAAGTCAGATGGTTAGTGAACTTAATTTCATCTACAACCTTAATTTCCTTTGGCCATGTAACGACATTTACAAGCTCCACGACTAGAATGCAGACATCTTTGGGAGCCC
This sequence comes from Homo sapiens, assembly GCF_000001405.40. Lineage (NCBI taxonomy): Eukaryota > Metazoa > Chordata > Mammalia > Primates > Hominidae > Homo > Homo sapiens. Next base: position 119,097,191 of record NC_000003.12, read on the forward strand.
CTATTTTGTCTGCCATAATACGTTTCTCAAAAAAAAGGAAATCACTGTCAGAAGTTAGGAAATATTAGGGAGGAATGCATCATCTCCACTACTTCTGATGTTTCCTTCCCTGGAGGAGCTCGGTAACTATAATTATGGCATCTCTCTGCTCACAGGAGATGAAATGGTTTATCTTATTGGTAAACTTAGGAAGAGTAAATTTGGCATGCTTGGCTCAGAACCTCCCATTTTTCCTCTGGGGAGCAAACTGCTTATGGAGAGCACACATTTCACTACTCCTCCAGGGAATCTACCCCAGCAAGCACAGGTTGGGGGTGAGGTTCACCCCAAACCTGGCCTTCCTGAGGTGGCGAGGTAGAGAGAGAGAGCCTGCTAACTTGGGGACTTGGTGTCATTTGGCTAACAAATCCTCCAGTTTGGCCTCTATCAGAGGGTGATATTTTGACCCCATCACCCAACTCTTTTGTTTTATTCCTCAAACTGTTCAAGAATCCAGGTGGAAAAGGAGAGTACCTTTATTGAGACTCCATTACAAACCTCAAGAGAAAGCACTTACTTCGATGATGCTGTTTATTTTTCCAAGATGTCTCATTTCTCCATATGAGATTGGTTTTTTTTGAGACAAGGTCTTGCTCTGTCACCCAGGCTGGAGTGCAGTGGTGCAAACACAGCTTACTGCAGCTTCAATCTCCCAGGTTCAAGCGATCCTCCCACCTCAGCCTCCCAAGTAGCTAGGACTACAGGCACATGCCACCACATTCAGCTAATTTTTTTTTTTTTTTTTTTTTTTTTTTTTAGAGACAGGGTCTTGCCATGTTGCCCAGGCCTCCAACTCCTGAGCTCAGGCAATCCTCACACCTCAGCCTCCCAAAGTGCTGGGATTAAAGGTGTGAGCCACCGCACCGAGCCAATTTGGTTTTCTTTTGGAGAACAAAGCTTATGTGGGAAACAGTATAGTACAGTGATGAAGTATGCAGGTGTATTAAAACTGCCTTAGTTAAAATGCTGACTCCATCATTTATATGTCATGTGATGTGTGGCAGATTACTTAACCTTTTTTGTGCCTCTGTTTCCTGCCTGTAAAATGGGAATACTAATTCTTTCTTCTTAGAGTGTGAATAATAAGTGATATAGTGGAAGCAAAACACTTAGAGCAGTGCCTAACATATTGTAAGCATTCAACGCATGCTATGTGTTACTATGTCTTATAACATATTTGCATACTCCATTGTATTTAGCATAGAAATACTAAAACAATTTTTTTCATGAAACAGGGTTCTCTGAAGCAGGGACTATATCTTATTCAGTTTTGTACCCTCAAGAACAGCATAGTGCCTAGCACAATAGAGATTAACACATTTGCTGTATGAATAAATGAAATAAGAAATGAAGCCAAAAACCAAGGTAAGAAAATTGTTCTGCCATATAGCACAATTTGCTTTACTAAACTTAAAAGCCTTTACTACGGATTAGTTTCCACTTGGCCAGAAAGTCAATAAAATATGTTTTTTAAATTAATGGAAAAGGCATTTTGTGCAATTTAGCATTGGAAACTATATTTCAAAAGTAATCCCAAAGCATTTTTAGCTGTTGCCTGAGTCAATTATGAATCTTTGCTGCTCTCTAGTGGGAGAAAACGTAAAGCACACAAAGGTGATGTCCTCAATTGGCTGGCATATATTTTTTAAAAATCAAAATAACTTTTCTACTCTGTCTCACATGTTTTCAGAAAAAAAGTTTCAAAACTTGCATTATTATCTCAGGTAACAAATTCTTTGCATTCCTAACCTACTCCCTTTGGGAAATCAGTCATATTAAGTATAATGTTTCACTTTTTAAAATATGCCCCAATTATAACAAATTGCAAAATAAATAAGATATGAAAATTGGGGAAAAAAAGGTCACAGGTGCAGAATGACATTTAGAAGTATAACAAATTTCAAGGGTACTTTTGTTCCACTATTACTTCAATGTTTGCGGATAATCCCTCTGGTGTCTAACCTCAGTTTTTAATCCAATTTCAGATTACTGAAGTTCTGCAGAGGAGTCACAAAGAGTTCTCAATTCAATCCAGAAAATTTTCTGAGCACTGAGAATGGGCAAAAACTGGGAAAGGGAAGGTTAGTGTAGTATATCAAAATGAAAAATACATTATCTCTGCATGAGGGAAGGTACATGGACACAATACCACTAAGTAGAATGGAAAGCAAACTGTGAGAACATAATTCTATTGGTGGTACAAATTCAGAGACATGGGAGTACAGGGAAAGAAAGTTTGCTCTAGGAATGCTTCCCAAAGTAAATGGTAGATGAATGAGCTCTTTAAGGATACTTAAATCATCAACAAAAAAATAAGAGAAAAGTTACTTCACATAGATGGAAAAAGGTAAACTACTACACATGAGTAGAAAATTACAGCTTGAATTTTGGAAAAGATGACTAGTCAGGTATAGCTGCAGTGGCAAGTGTATTCAGAAATCAAATCAGACACAAGGGCTGGTTAGAAATCATGGAGGGCCTTGAATGCCATCAAGAAATCTGGACTTTGATCTATCTGTTTTGAAAAGTTATTGAACATTTTACAAGAGGTTGCAGTAAGATCCATGGTTTTAGAAAAACATTTTGCTGTATATTAGTCCCTTCTTATCCACTGGGGATACATTCCAAGAGCAGCAGTAGATGCCTGAAACTCTGGGTAGTATTGAACCCAATGTACACTGTACTTTCTCAATCTGATAACTGAGACAATTACTAAGAAACTAATGGGCAGGCAGAGTGTACAGTGAGGATACGCTGGGCAAAGGAATGATTCACATCCTGGGTAAGACAGAACGGGATGACATGAGATTTCATTATGCTACTCAGAGCTTCATGCAACTTAAAATATAAATTGTTTATTTCTGGAATTTTCCATTTAATATTTTTAGACTGCAATTGTGGGTAACTGAAACTGCAGAAAGCAAAAGCATGGATAAGGAGAAACTACTGCAGTTTCAAAGACAAACTGAAAAAGAGAAAGCCTAAAGTCAAGGAGGTCAGTTTGAAGGCCACTGATATCATCCAGAGATGAAAATGTAAACCACAGCTGTAACAATGGCAATAGAGAAAAAGACACAGATATAAGATGTTTCAGAAAAAGAACAAAAATCACTCAACAGTGGGTTGATGTGGAGTGTTGGATAAGAGAAGATCCTTAGAATAAGAGAATAAAGAAGTCCCTGAGGCTTTGAGTCTAGGCAGGTAGAAATATTTTGAAGCCAGTGTGGCAGAGATCACAGAGATGATGACAATTTGTCATTAATTCCCATACGTTGCCTACTTGCCACATGTGGTTAAAGGACAAAATTGATCTACTATTCACTGCTTAGAAATGTTTTAGTTTATTATCATTTAAATAAGGAGTAGGGAGATCAAAAATATGTAACTTCATACTTCAACTTATTTAAATTTACAAGAAAAATCCAAAAGTCACATAATCTGTGTCTTAGGCTTTTCATTGGTAAAATAAAAGGGCTGGACCATGAGACGTTTCTAAGGTTCATTTTAGATCTAAAGTGTATGATCTTGGGTCTTGTGATTAGTCAAGGATAAGTGATATAAGTTACATCCAGGGGGCATCTGATAACCAGGTAGTCTAGAGTTTATGAAAGATATGGAAACTGTTCACAAATATGTAAATCGAAAGTCATGGAATGGGATGACATAACAGAATTCTACAGAGGGAGATGAGGGATGAATCCTGAGGACAGATCCATGGGGAATCAGTATATCCCATCTTGTGGAATGCCACCTCCATCTATCCAGTTACCCAAACTAGAAGAAACATAGATGTTGTCTTCAACTCCTTTCTCTTCCTCACTACTCATCATTCTAACACCAAATCTGACTGATAATACTTCCAATCCATCCACTTCTCTCCGTGCCACTGCCATTTGTCTAACACGGGCTATCATCATTTCTAATACAAATGATTTAAATAGCCTCTTTTTACAAATTTACTTTTAAAACTAAAAAATGTTATTTTAAAAAGTAAAGCAGGCCGGGTGCGGTGGCTCACACCTGTAATCCCAGCACTTTGGGAGGCCAAGGTGGGCAGATTACCTGAGGTCGGGAGTTCAAGGCCAGCCTGACCAACATGGAGAAACCCTGTCTCTACTAAAAATACAAAATTAGCCAAGCGTGGTGGCGCATGTCTGTAGTCCCAGATACTAGGGAGGCTGAGGCAGGAGAATCACTTGAATCTGGGAGGTAGAAGTTGCAATGAGCCGAGATCATCCCATCCCGCACTCCAGCCTGGGCAACAGGAGCAAAACACCATCTCAAAAAACAAAAAAAGTAAAGCATATACAGACATGGCACAAAAAATGTTAAATTACCAAAAGGTATACAATAAAATGTATCCTTCCTTCCCCTGAGCTATACTGAATGGATATACCATAATTTATTTCACTGGTTCCAATTAATGGGAACTTCCTTGATTCACAGTTCTTGGCTTTTACAAATCATGTTGCCATAAACATCTTTTCATATACCTAATTTCTCACATTTGCAAATATATCTGTGGGCTAACCCTAAATGTATAACACATTTAATTCTCTGTTTCACTGGACGGTATCTATTGACTCCACAGTATCAACAATGATTAAATAAATTAGTCTATTTCCATTTCATTTTCACTTTCTTCTTACTCCAGCATCTAATGTTAGTGAATTATAAGATTTATCTTAGTACTTGTCTTTAAAGTTTTAAATACATGTACTTTCAATTACTTCATCTATATTTTAAATAATTTTAGCTTCTAATTATAAAAAGTGCTTACACTACCTCCCATTTTTTCTTCCCCTTCCATCTTTTGTTTGTTCTATTATTTCCACTTTGTCAGAGTTTATAAAACAGATTCCTTTCTAACTGTAACCTCCATGTTTATTTTCACCTTAATTCCACATTTAATCATACTGGTACATCACTGCCACTCCTTTTGCCATAATTTCTCCATTTATCTGTGGTTGTTGAGGTTTTCCATCTGCTATAAAAATTCATGGAATTATATTCTCTGGGTTTTTGCATATTCAGAGATGTCTGCTATCTTTTCACTAAAAGGATAACATCTGGAAATGCATTTCTGGAGTCCACACTTTCTCTCCTTAAGGAATTTTAAGCATTATTCCATTGTTTCCTAGCATTGATTGCTGCTGTGGAGGTCTGAGCCAGTCTGAATTTTTTTTCTTACATGAAATTAGACTGTTTTGCCTAGTTGCATAAAAGAGTCTTAATCTTTGAGGAACAGTAATTTTGTTTGAACATAACATAAATGTTAACAATTCCATGTCAAGTTTTCCTAGGCTACAGAATACCATTTCCATACTTATATCCAAGACATTTTTTGTTTCTAGAAAATATTTTTGAATTATATATTCAAATATTGCATCTAGTCCATTGAATCTATACTCATTGTTATATATTGGACCTCCTCATCTTTCCTATCAATTATTTTTGTCCCTAATACTTCTAAATTTTTTGTGGATTCTGTTTCATTTTTCTTGCTTTTCTTCATTCCATCTCCCACATCTCCAAAGTGTTTTAAGTTATATCTAGTTTTCTTTCGGCTTCTTCCAATAAGACCTTCATTCCTATAATAGTTTTTTAATTCTCCATTTCTTCCCTGAGCTCATTTGTCAAGTCCCTCTGTGGTCTTAGTATGTCTTCTCTGAGCCGTTGGAGTTCTTCGTTTTGAGTTCATATTTACAGAAGGAGTGCATAATTAAGGTTTGTTGTTTTGTTTTATATTTTAATTCATACTTGGCCAATTTTTTTTTTTTTTTTTTGAGTTGGAGTCTCGCTCTGTCGCCCAGGCTGGAATGCAATGGCGCAATCTCAGCTCACTGCAAGCTCCGCCTCCCGGGTTCATGCCATTCTCCTGCCTCAGTCTCCCAAGTAGCTGGGACTACAGGTGTCCGCCACCATGACTGGCTAATTTTTTGTATTTTTAGTAGAGACAGGGTTTCACCGTGTTAGCCAGGATGGTCTCGATCTCCTGACCTCTTGATCCGCCCACCTCGGCCTCCCAAAATGCTGGGATTACAGGCGTGAGCCGCCGCGCCCGGCCCAAAATTTTTATGTGATCTATGACAACTTTTTTTCTGATGAGTTTTTCTTTCTCTGCTTGTTTTGGTGTCTACTGTTCCTTTCCTTCTTTTTTTTTTTATACTTATACAAATCCTGTGTTAATTCCTCTTTGACTACTGCTCATGTTTGAATGTGATGAGTTTTTCTTATGATCACTACTGGCAGGAGGTTTATAAGAGGAAGGAGCTAAGATCTTCCTTTCTGCTAAGCCAAGAATTTCTGGATTAGCAGAAATTCTTCCCAGTTAACAGTTATGTTTCTTATGACACAAGGTTATGCGTAAAAGTTTCTTTTTTCTTTTTACTTCTCCAAAGTCATCAAAGATCAGTTGCTATAGGGCTGTATCCAATGCAGAGTCTCTTTGGTCCACCCTGTACCACTAATGAAATAAAATGTAAAACTCAGATATGGCCTATTAGTGTGATTTTTCCCTCATTCCTACCAATCCTGCTTCTTACTAGTATTGACTTGAGTGGGTTAAGGAGACTTCCACTACCATCTTCCCATAATTCCAAATAAGGAATTGTTGGGTATTTCCCCAGTTTTGCTTGAGTTATACAGATGCAAGCAGCACCTAACTGTATCTGCCAATACTCCTCTTCACCCATAACTGCTCTTGGTAATGCCCCCTCATATATTGTGGCTAAGGTTTATAGGTTTCATCTAGTTTTTTTAAAAAGATGAAATTTACATTTCTGTTTTTTGTTCTTACCTTGGATTGATTTCTGAGAGAATAGGAGGACAGTACCGTATTTACTTAGCCATTTTTAAAATAGAAATTTCTATAATAAGGTCATCTTAGTCGCCCAATTTCCAATCCCCTCCTCAATCCATTTTTGCCAATTACAACCAGCATGATCTAAAGTGCAAGTCTAATTTTGTCAATACCCTGCAAGAAATCATTTGATGACTCTGCATATTCTTGGAATAAAAGCTAAACATCTCTATATGTCCCCTATCTACCTCTCCTGCCTCATCTATTATTACCCAGCCCCTTCACACTCAATATTACAACATATCGAATTTCTTTTAGTTATTCAAACTCCCCGTAATCTGCTATGCCTCCAAGCATGTAATATGTTCTTCTCTTTGCCTGGAATAGGCTTCTCCTGACACTGATCACTCCCATTCACTTCTTAAATCTTAATAACCCTTCAGCTCTCAGCATAGTAATAATAAGCTTCCATTTTTTATTATTTACAAAAGCACTGTGCTAAGCAATTTCTATGTATTAACTCATTTATTTTCACAGCTAGCCAATGAAGTGAGTGGTATTATTGTCTCTATTTTAAATATAAGAAAATTGAACCTTTAAAAGGTTATGAAACTTGTATAAGGAAACAGAACTAGTAAATGTTGTAGCTGCAACTGAACTCCAGCACTCCAAAGGCCTTAGAACAACAAACTGACTATACATTTTACTATATTTATGTCACTTCTCCTTACCCTTCAGCTTTGGGTTATGTGCTTCTTCTACAGGCACCAATAGCTGTTTATACTTCTCCCATCATAGCTCTTAACACAGTGTGTTATAATTGCATTGCTTATTTTCTTATCAGAGTCACCCTCCAGCATATGCATTCTCAACGTTAAGAATTCTGTCTTATTTCTTATTGAATCCACAGTGCCTGACACATAGCAAGGGCTCAATAAATATTTTTTGAAAGAAAAAATGATTTTTCCCAGGACTTAGAAATGGAAGATTTTTTTTAGTAGTAGGAGAATATACATAGAAGTTAGTATCACAAAAAGCCTTTCACTCAGCCAGGCCATAAGAGATAATAACCACTAATAGTAATAAAACTTTTCCAATGTCAAGTCACTAACCAGTTCTAGAAAAGCAGTTCCACCAGAGCAAAAGTTCCACCAGAGACATTTATTCTTCTTGCCTGAGGAAGGTGAGAACAGGGGAAGAGAGACTTTATGTCATCATAACATTATATGTATTTCATTTTTTAAAATTTTTAAATAGTTTATTTTAGGAAAACCTTCTTGGGTACAGGATTTGGAGCCATAACAAAATATTAGGATGGAAACCATTTCATCAGACCAATTAATCACACAGAAACTTTAATAGGAGAATGGATTAACTAAAGCTACCCCAAACTAGATCTGTATGGGATTACCCACAGTTGTATCAAGATGGATCAGGGTAATAGAATGGATACTACTTTTCCACCATGGCTGCAACCATCCAGAGACTTTGACCTTCTTTATCTCCTATATTACTCCTTGTAGTAGGTCACCTGCATCAGTCACAACTTATCAAAACAGTAACACACTTATCCAATTTTCTTTAGTAATTTAAAACTTCCTCTGACATAAATGGTGAGGAGTAAAAAAGTTACAAGCTCTTTCAGATTAGGAAACCACACATACCATACATGAAGTCCTTTAGCTTGCAAGATGGCATTTACTGATTTTTTTCCTCAATCTGGATGAGCACTCCCAATGCCCATATCCAGGTCTTTCTCAGCCTAGATTCCTTTGGCCTACCACCACAAAATAGGGCTAAATTCTCTCTCACTTTAGTTAAGGTCCCTTTTTGCCCTTTCTTACTCCAAAAATTAAATTATACTTCTTTTCTTTTTTATACTCCCCTTGAACCCCAACCAACAAGCTTTCTGGATCTCTTTCTACACGGAGGCAAAAAATTGGTTCATACTTATTTGTCATATTACAAACATATTGAATGCAAAACATATATAGAGCAAAGGGATCACACATTTAAGGATCCACGTTAAGAGGTATGTCTGCCATAATTCCCTGCATCCTCTTGATTTATTTATGGGATATATGAGATATTTTGATACAGGCATACAATGTACAATAATAACATCATGGTAGATGGCATATCCATCACCTCAAGCATTTATCCTTTGTGTTTCAAACAATCCATTTATACTTTTTTAGTTGTTTTTAAGGATGCAATTAAATTGTTATTGACTATAGTCACCCAGTTATACTATCAAATAGTAGGTTTTATTCATTCTTTCTAACTATTTTTTGTACCCATTAACCATCACCATTTCCCCCCGAACTTCCCACTACCCTTCCCAGCCTCTGGTAACCATTTTTATACCCTCTATCTCCACAAGTTCAATTGTTTTCGTTTCTAGCTCCCACAAATAAGTAAGAAATTTGCTTTTCTCTGCCTGGTTTACTTCACCTGACATAATGACCTACAGTTCCATCCATGTTGTCAAAAATAACAGGACTTCATTCTTTTTTATGGCTGAATAGTACTCCATTGTATACATGTCCCACATTTTTTTTTATTATTATTACACTTCAAGTTTTAGGGTACATGTGCACAACGTGCGGGTTAGTTACATATGTATACATGAGCCATGCTGGTGTGCTGCACCCATTAACTCGTCGTTTAGCATCAGGTATATCTCCTAATGCTATCCCTCCCCCCTCCTCCCACCCCACAACAGTCCCCACAGTGTGATGTTCCCCTTCCTGTGTCCATGTGTTCTCATTGTTCAATTCCCACCTATGAGTGAGAACATGCAGTGTTTGGTTTTTTGTCCTTGAGATAGTTTACTGAGAATGATGATTTCCAATTTCATCCATGTCCCTACAAAGGACATGAACTCATCATTTTTTATGGCTGCATAGTATTCTATGGTGTATATGGTTCACATTTTCTTAAACCAGTCTATCATTGTTGGACATTTGGGTTGGTTCCAAGTCTTTGCTATTGTAAATAGTGCCACAATCAACATACGTGTGCATGTGTCTTTATAGCAGCATGATTTATAGTCCTTTGGGTATATACTCAGTAATGGGATGGCTGGGTCAAATAGTATTTCTTGTTCTAGATCCCTGAGGAATCACCACACTGACTTCCACAATGGTTGAACTAGTTTACAGTCCCACCAACAGTGTAAAAGTGTTCCTATTTCTCCACATCCTCTCCAGCACCTGTTGTTTCCTGACTCTTCAATGATCACCATTCTAACTGGTGTGAGATGGTATCTCATTGTGGTTTTGATTTGCATTTCTCTGATGGCCAGTGATGATGAGCATTTTTCATATGTCTTTTGGCTGCATAAATGTCTTCTTTTGAGAAGTGTCTGTTCATATCCTTCACCCACTTTTTGATGGGGTTGTTTGTTTTTTTCTTGTAAATTTGTTTGAGTTCATTGTAGATTCTGGATATTAGCCCTTTGTCAGGTGAGTAGGTTGCGAAAATTTTCTCCCATTCTGTAGGTTGCCTGTTCACTCTGATGGTAGTTTCTTTTGCTGTGCAGAAGCTCTTTAGTTTAATTAGATCCCATTTGTCAATTTTGGCTTTTGTTGCCATTGCTTTTGGTGTTTTAGACATGAAGCTCTTGCCCATGCCTATGTCCTGAATGGTAATGCCTAGGTTTTCTTCTAGGGTTTTTATGGTTTTAGGTCTAACATTTAAGTCTTTAATCCACCTTGAATTAATTTTTCTATAAGGTGTAAGGAAGGGATCCAGTTTCAGCTTTCTACATATGGCTAGCCAGTTTTCCCAGCACCATTTATTAAATAGGGAATCCTTTCCCCATTGCTTGTTTTTCTCAGGTTTGTCAAAGATCAGATAGTTGTAGATATGCGGCGTTATTTCTGAGGGCTCTGTTCTGTTCCATTGATCTATATCTCTGTTTTGGTACCAGTACCATGCTGTTTTGGTTACTGTAGCCTTGTAGTATAGTTTGAAGTCAGGTAGTGTGATGCCTCCAGCTTTATTCTTTTGGCTTAGGATTGACTTGGCAATGCGGGCTCTTTTTTGGTTCCATATGAACTTTAAAGTAGTTTTTTCCAATTCTGTGAAGAAAGTCATTGGTAGCTTGATGGGGATGACATTGAATCTATAAATTACCTTGGGCAGTATGGCCATTTTCACGATATTGATTCTTCCTACCCATGAGCATGGAATGTTCTTCCATTTGTTTATATCCTCTTTTATTTCCTTGAGCAGTGGTTTGTAGTTGTCCTTGAAGAGGTCCTTCACATCTCTTGTAAGTTGGATTCCTAAGTATTTTATTCTCTTTGAAGCAATTGTGAATGGGAGTTCACTCATGATTTGGCTCTCTGTTTGTCTGTTATTGGTGTATAAGAATGCTTGTGATTTTTGTACATTGATTTTGTATCCTGAGACTTTGCTGAAGTTGCTTATCAGCTTGAGGAGATTTTGGGCTGAGACGATGGGGTTTTCTAGATATACAATCATGTCATCTGCAAACAGGGACAATTTGACTTCCTCTTTTCCTAATTGAATACCCTTTATTTCCTTCTCCTGCCTGATTGCCCTGGCCAGAACTTCCAACACTATGTTGAATAGGAGTGGTGAGAGAGGGCCTCCCTGTCTTGTGCCAGTTTTCAAAGGGAATGCTTCCAGCTTTTGCCCATTCAGTATGATATTGGCTGTGGGTTTGTCATAGATAGCTCTTATTATTTTGAGATACGTCCCATCAATACCTAATTTATTGAGAGTTTTTAGCATGAAGGGTTGTTGAATTTTGTCAAAGGCTTTTTCTGCATCTATTGAGATACTCATGTGGTTTTTGTCTTTGGTTCTGTTTATATGCTGGATTACATTTATTGATTTGCATATATTGAACCAGCCTTGCATCCCAGGGATGAAGCCCACTTGATCATGGTGGATAAGCTTTTTGATGTGCTGCTGGATTCAGTTTGCCAGTATTTTATTGAGGATTTTTGCATCAATGTTCATCAAGGATATTGGTCTAAAATTCTCTTTTTTGGTTGTGTCTCTGCCCGGCTTTGGTATCAGGATGATGCTGGCCTCATAAAATGAGTTAGGGAGGATTCCCTCTTTTTCTATTGATTGGAATAGTTTCAGAAGGAATGGTACCAGTTCCTCCTTGTACCTCTGGTAGAATTCGGCTGTGAATCCATCTGGTCCTGGACTCTTTTTGGTTGGTAAGCTATTGATTATTGCCACAATTTCAGATCCTGTTATTGGTCTATTCAGAGATTCAACTTCTTCCTGGTTTAGTCTTCGGAGAGTGTATGTGTCGAGGAATTTATCCATTTCTTCTAGATTTTCTAGTTTATTTGCGTAGAGGTGTTTGTAGTATTCTCTGATGGTAGTTTGTAATTCTGAGGGATCGGTGGTGATATCCCCTTTATCATTTTTTATTGCGTCTATTTGATTCTTCTCTCTTTTTTTCTTTATTAGTCTTGCTAGTGGTCTATGAATTTTGTTGATCCTTTCGAAAAACCAGCTCCTGGATTCATTAATTTTTTGAAGGGTTTTTTGTGTCTCTATTTCCTTCAGTTCTGCTCTGATCTTAGTTATTTCTTGCCTTCTGCTAGCTTTTGAATGTATTTGCTCTTGCTTGTCTAGTTCTTTTAATTGTGATGTTAGGGTGTCAATTTTGGATCTTTCCTGCTTTCTCTTGTGGGCATTTAATGCTATAAATTTCCCTCTACACACTGCTTTGAATGTGTCCCAGAGATTCTGGTATGTTGTGTCTTTGTTCTCGTTGGTTTCAAAGAACATCTTTATTTCTGCCTTCCCTTCGTTATGTACCCAGTAGTCATTCAGGAGCAGGTTGTTCAGTTTCCATGTAGTTGAGCGGTTTTGAGTGAGTTTCTTAATCCTGAGTTCTAGTTTGATTGCACTGTGGTCTGAGAGACACTTTGTTATAATTTCTGTTCTGTCACATTTGTTGAGGAGAGCTTTACTTCCAACTATGTGGTCAATTTTGGAATAGGTGTGGTGTGGTGCTGAAAAAAATGTATATTCTGTTGATTTGGGGTGGAGAGTTCTGTAGATGTCTATTAGGTCCGCTTGGTGCAGAGCTGAGTTCAATTCCTGGGTATCCTTGTCAACTTTCTGTCTTGTAGATCTGACTAATGTTGACAGTGGGGTGTTAAAGTCTCCCATTATTATTGTGTGGGAGTCTAAGTCTCTTTGTAGGTCACTCAGGACTTGCTTTATGAATCTGGGTGCTCCTGTATTGGGTGCATATATATTTAGGATAGTTAGCTCTTCTTGTTGAATTGATCCCTTTAGCATTATGTAATGGCCTTCTTTGTCTCTTTTGATCTTTGTTGGTTTAAAGTCTGTTTTATCAGAGACTAGGATTACAACCCCTGCCTTTTTTTGTTTTCCATTTGCTTGGTAGATCTTCCTCCACCCTTTTATTTTGAGCCTATGTGTGTCTCTGCACGTGAGATGGCTTTCCTGAATACAGCACACTGATGGGTCTTCACTCTTTATCCAATTTGCCAGTCTGTGTCTTTTAATTGGAGCATTTAGTCCATTTACATTTAAAGTTAATATTGTTATGTGTGAATTTGGTCCTGTCATTATGATGTTAGCTCGTTATTTTGCTCATTAGTTGATGCAGTTTCTTCCTAGTCTTGATGGTCTTTACATTTTGGCATGATTTTGCAGCGGCTGGTACCAGTTGTTCCTTTCCATGTTTAGTGCTTCCTTCAGGAGCTCTTTTAGGGCAGGCCTGGTGGTGACAAAATCTCTCAGCATTTGCTTGTCTGTAAAGTATTTTATTTCTCCTTCACTTATGAAGCTTAGTTTGGCTGGATATGAAATTCTGGGTTGAAAATTCTTTTCTTTAAGAATGTTGAATATTGGCCCCCACTCTCTTCTGGCTTGTAGAGTTTCTGCCGAGAGATCCGCTATTAGTCTGATGGGCTTCCCTTTGTGGGTAACCCGACCTTTTTCTCTGGCTGCCCTTAACATTTTTTCCTTCATTTCAACTTTGGTGAATCTGACAATTATGTGTCTTGGAGTTGCTCTTCTCGAGGAGTATCTTTATGGCGTTCTCTGTATTTCCTGTATCTGAATGTTGGCCTGCCTTGCTAGATTGGGGAAGTTCTCCTGGATAATATCCTGCAGAGTGTTTTCCAACTTGGTTCCATTCTCCCCATCACTTTCAGGTACACCAATCAGACGTAGATTTGGTCTTTCCACATAGACCCATATTTCTTGGAGGCTTTGTTCGTTTCTTTTTATTCTTTTTTCTCTAAACTTCCCTTCTTGCTTCATTTCATTCATTTCATCTTCCATCACTGATACCCTTTCTTCCAGTTGATCGCATCAGCTCCTGAGGCTTCTGCATTCTTCACGTAGTTCTTGAGCCTCGGCTTTCAGCTCCATCAGTTCCTTTAAGCACTTCTCTGTATTGGTTATTCTAGTCATATATTCATCTAAATTTTTTTCAAAGTTTTCAACTTCTTTGCCTTTGGTTTGAATTTCCTCCTGTAGGTTGGAGTAGTTTGATCATCTGAAGCCTTCTTCTCTCAACTCGTCAAAGTCATTCTCCGTCCAGCTTTGTTCGGTTGCTGGTGAGGAACTGCGTTCCTTTGGAGGAGGAGAGGCGCTCTGCTTTTTAGAGTTTCCAGTTTTTCTGCTCTGTTGTTTCCCCATCTTTGTGGTTTTATCTACTTTTGGTCTTTGATGATGGTGATGTACAGATGGGTTTTTGGTGTGGATGTTCTTTCTGTTTGTTAGTTTTCCTTCTAACAGACAGGACCCTCAACTGCAGGACTGTTGGAGTTTGCTAGAGGTCCACTCCAGACCCTGTTTGCCTGGGTATCAGCAGCGGTGCCTGCAGACCAGCGGATTTTCGTGAACCACGAATGCTGCTGTCTGATCGTTCCTCTGGAAGTTTTGTCTCAGAGGAGTACCCAGCTGTGTGAGGTGTCAGTCTGCCCCCACTGGGTGGTGCCTCCCAGTTAGGCTGCTCGGGGGTCAGGGGTCTGGGACCCACTTGAGGAGGCAGTCTGCCCATTCTCAGATCTCAAGCTGCGTACTGGGAGAACCACTGCTCTCTTCAAAGCTGTCAGACAGGGACATTTAAGACTGCAGAGGCTACTGCTGTCTTTTTGTTTGTCTGTGCCCTGCCCCCAGAGGTGGAGCCTACAGAGGCAGGCAGGCCTCCTTGAGCTGTGGTGGGCTCCACCCAGCTCGAGCTTCCCGCCTGCTTTGTTTACTTAAGCAAGCCTGGGCAATGGTGGGCGCCCCTCCCCCAGCCTCTCTGCCACCTTGCAGTTTGATCTCAGAGTGTTGTGCTAGCAATCAGCGAGACTCTGTGGGCGTAGGACCCTCCGAGCCATGTGCGGGATATAATCTCCTGGTGTGCCGTTTCCTAAGCCTGTTGGAAAAGCGCAGTATTTGGGTGGGAGTGACCCGATTTTCCAGGTGCCGTCTGTCACCCCTTTCCTTGACCAGGAAAGGGAACTCCCTGACCCCTTGCGCTTCCCGAGTGAGGCAATGCCTTGCCCTGCTTTGGCTCGTGCATGGTACGCTGCACCCACTGTCCTGCGCCCACTGTCTGGCACTCCCTAGTAAGATGAACCCAGTACCTCAGATGGAAATGCAGAAATCACCTGTCTTCTGTGTCGCTCACACTGGGAGCTGTAGACCGGAGCTGTTCCTATTCGGCCATCTTGGCTCCTCCCACCATATGTCCTGCATTTTCTTTATCCATTCATCTGTTGATGAACACATAGTGTATTAGTCCATTCTCACATTGCTATAAAGAACTACCTGAGTCTGGGTAATTTATAAAGAAAAGAGCTTCAGTTCGCTCACAGTTCTGCAGGATGTACAGAAAGCATGGCAGAGGAGGCCTCAGGAAACTTACAATCATGACAGAAAGTGAAGAGGAAGCAGACATGTCCTACATGGCTAGAGAAGGAGGAAGAGAACAAAGGGGGAGGTGCTACACACTTTTAAACAACCATATCTCATGAGGTCTCTCAGATGTCACTACCATGAGAACAGCAAGAGAGAAGTCTGCCCCACGATCCAATTACATCCCACCAGGCACCTCCTCTAACACTGGGGATTATAATTTGACATGAGATTTGGGTGGGGACAGAAATACAAAACATATCATTCCACCCCTGGCCCCTCCCAAATCTCATTTTCTTCTCCCATTTCATAATACAATTATGCCTTCCCAATAGTCCCCCAAAGTCTTAACTCATTCCAGCATTAACTCAGAAGTCCACAGTCCAAAGTCTCATCTGAGACAAGGCAAGTCCCTAACTCAAAACCAGTTAGTTATTTACAAGATACAATGAGGATATGGGCATTGGAAAAATACTCCTGTTCCAAAAGGAAGAGACTGGCCAAAACAAAGGAGCTACAGGTCCCATGGAAGTCCAAAACCCAGGATGACACTCATTAAATCTTAAAGCTTCAAAATAACCTCCTTTGACTCCCTGTCTCACATCCAGGCCATGTTGATGCAACAGGTGGGCTCCCAAGGCCTCGGGCAGCTCCACCCCTGTGGCTCTGCAAGGTACAGCCCCCATGACTGCTTTCAGAGGCTAGGGTGGAGTGCCTGCAGCTTTTCTAGGCACATGGTGCAAGCTGTCGATGGATCTACCATTCTGGGGTGTGGAGGATGGTGACCCTCTTCTCACAGCTCCACTAGGCAGTGCCCCAGTGGGGACTCTGTGTGAGGTCTCAAACCCCACATTTCCCCTCTGCACTGCCCTAGTAGAGGTTCTCCATGAGGGCTCTGCCCCTGCAGCAGACTTCTGTCTGGATATCCAGGTATTTCCATACGTCCTCTGAAATCTAAGCGGAGGTTCCCAAGCCTCAACTCTTAGCCTCTGCACACCCACAGGCTTAACACCATGTGGAAACCACCAAGGCTTACAGATTGCATCCTTTGAAGCAGTGACCTGAGACATATCTGGGGCCCTTTTAGCTACAGCTGGAGCTGGAGCAGCTAGGATGCAAGGAGCAGTGTCCTGATGTGGTACAGGGCAGCAGGGCCCTGGGCCCAGCCCATGGCCCATGAAACCTAAGCCTCCAGGCCTGTGATGGGAGGGGCTGCTGCAAAGGTATCTAAAATGCCTTCAAGGCATTTTCCCCATTGTCTTGGCTATTGACATTTGTCTCCTCCTTACTTATGCAAATTTCTGCAGCCAGCTTGAATTCGTCCCCAGAAAATGGGTTTTTCCTTTTTGCCACATGGCCAAGCTGCAAATTTTCCAAACTTTTATACTCTGTTACCCTTTTAAATATAAGTTCTAATTCCAGGTCATTTCTTTGCTCACAAATATAAGCCTAGGCTGCTAGAAGTAGCCAGTTCACTCTTGAACATTTTGTCACTTAGAAATTTCTTCCGCCAGACGCCCTAAATCATCCTTCTCAAGGTCAAAGTTCCACAGATCCCTAGGGCAGAGGCACAATGCCTCCAACCTCTTTGATAACACATAACAAAAGTGATCTTTGCTACAGTTCCCAATAAGTTCCTCGTTTCCTTCTGAGACCACCTCAGCCTGGACTTCCTTGTCCTTTTCACTATCAGCATTTTGGTTACAATAGTTTAACAAGTCTCTAGGAAGTTCCAAACTTTCCCTCATCTTCTTGTCTTTTTCTGAGCCCTCCCAAATGTTCTAACTTTTGCCTGTTACCCAGTTTCAAAGTTGCTTCCACATTTTCAGGTATCTTTATAGCAATGCCCCACTCTTAGGTACCAATTTTCTGTATTAGTTCATTCTCGCATTGCTATCAAGAAGTACCTAACACTGGGTAATTTATAGAGAGGTTTAATTGCCTCACAGTTCCATAGGCTGTACAGGAAACATGGCTGGGGAGGCCTCAGGAAACTTATAATCATGATGGAAGGCAAAGGGGAAGCAGACATGTCCTACATGGCTGGAGCAGGAGGAAGAGAGTAAAGGGGGAGGTGCTACACACTTTAAAATAACCAGATCTCAGTCACTATCACAAGAACAGTAAGGAAGAAGCCCATCCCCATGGTTCAATCATCAACACCAGGTCCCTCCTTGAACATTGGGGTTACAATTCAATATGAGATTTGGGTGAGGACACAAATCCAAACCATATCCCTCAGGTTGCTTCCAAATATTGGCTATTGTAAATAGTGCTGCAATAAACATGAAAGTGCAGCTATCTCTTTGATACATTGGGTTTCCTTGCTTTGGGGTATATACCTAGCAGTGGGATTACTGGATCATAAGGTAGCGCTATTTTTAGTTTTTTGAGGAACCTCCAAACCTTTCTCCATAGTGGGTGTACTAATTTACAGTCCCACCAACAGGGTACAAGGGTTCCCTTTTCCTCACATCCTTGGCAGCATTTGTTAATTGCCTGTCTTTTGGATAAAAGCCATTTTAACTGAGGTGAGATGATATCTCATTGAAGTTTTGATTTGCATTTCTCTGATGATCAATTATGTTGAGCACCTTTTCATATACCTGTTTGCCATTTGTATGTCTTCTTTTGAGAAATGTCTATTCAGATTGTTTGCCCATTTTTAACTGCATTATCAGATTTTTTCCTATAGAGTTGTTTGGGTCCCTTATATAATCTGGTAACTAATCCCTTGTTAGATGAATAGTTGCAAATATTTTCTCTCATTCTGTGGGTTGTCTCTTCACTTCGTTGACTGTTTCCTTTTCGGTGAAGCTTTTTAATTTAATATAATCCCATATGTCCAAAAATAGAGAAATCTTAACTAATAAATGTACAATCTATATAATCTTCTAAAATGAGGTGATAAAAAAATTAGTGGTTTACCATTTGGTGTCTGCTGATTCCCTCAAAAATTTATAAAAGTGGTGCAAAACTTTATTTGCTATCACAAAAGCCTTAGGAAAACATTTTAAGTCTTAAGATTATATAATTAAGGTCCTACTTCTGAAATGACAAAACGAGGAGCTTTGTGAATTTACTCTACCTCTAAACAATAAAAATATGAGCCAAACAACTGTCATGGTTAATTTTGTTTTTCACTTAATTGCACAACAGAGTGCTCAGATAAAACATTATTTCTGGGTGTGTCTGGAAGGGTGTTTCTAGATGAGATTAGCATTTGAATTGGTGGACTCAGTAATGTAAATTATCCTTCCCAATACAGGTGGGCATCATGCAATCCATTGAGGTCCTGAACAGAACAAAAAGGCAGAAGATGAAGGAATATGCTCTTTTTTTTTCCTGCCTGCCTGCTTGAGCTGAAATATTGGTCTTTTGCTCTTGGACTGGAATTTATACCACTGGCTCCCCTGGTTCTCAGGCCTTTGAACTCAGACTGGAATTATACCACTGGATGTCCTAGGTCTCCAACTTGCAAACAGCAGATCATGATATTACTCAACCTTCATAATCACATAAGCCAATTCCTCACTATATGTAAAATCACCTTTGCAGAAATTATATCAGTGAAAAAATTATTACAGTAAACTAAGCTAAGCTAACCCCCATCTTGCCTTTCCTTTATTATTCCTGGCATATTGGGCCATGCTAACTTTGGAAGACATTCAGGCTACAGTTTAAATGATAATAGACATTGCCCAAAACTCAACTGCTTTTGTAAAGCTAATAGGAAGCCATCAGGCTAAAGGGAGGAGAGGAGCCTGAGTCCTGCTAAGGTGCAGACATTATTCCAGAGCTTATAAGATATGCAAATTCACCAATTACTCTTGCAAATAACACCATTATGGTAGATTGGCCTTTTGAGATATCTTTCCAGAATTTTTTGCATATCTGACACCCATGTCTCCACCTGGACCTGATGGCTCTACCTGAACCGACAACCCCACTCCTGTAGCCCCACCCAGAAGTGATTTGGCCTGCAGGAGGAAAGCTTTGACCCCCATGATTTCATCTCTGCCCCAGCCAATCAGCAGCAAGCACCTGGTACCTGGCCACCCCCACCCCTTTTCCCAAACTGTCCTTGAAAAACCCCTAACATATGGGCTTTGAATGAGATTATTTGAGTACAAACTTCATCTCGCACATAACATGTCCAGCTCATGTCTATTAAACTCTTTCTCTGCTACAATTTCATGGTCTCTCTTTATGCAATGGGCAGGAAGAACCCCTCAGATGATTACACATGGAGGTCAAAACACAAACTGGAAGTTATCAAAAAAAAAAAAACTACTCAATCTTGGTAAGATGGGGGAGGGGGTTGTATTAGTCTGTTTTCATCGTGCTGATAAAGACATACCCCAAAACTAGGTAATTTATACAGGAAAAGGGGTTTAATGGACTTACAGTTCCACTGGCTGGGGATGCCTCACAATAATGAAGGAAGGCAAGGAGGAGCAACTCACGTCTTACATGGATGGCAGCAGGCAAAGAGAGCTTGTGCAGGGAAACACCTCTTTTTAAAATCATCAGATCTCCTAAGACTTATTCACTATCACAAGAACAGCACAGGAAAGACCTGCCCCCCATGATTCAATTATCTCCTACCAGGTCCCTCCCACGACACATGGAAATTCAAGATGAGATTTGGGTGGAGACACAGCCAAACCATATAATTGTGCCCCTGGTCCCTCCAAAATCGCATGTCCAGACATTTCAAAACCAATCATGCCTTCCCAACAGTCCCCCAAAGTCTTAACTCATTTCAGCATTAACCCAAAGTCCACAGTCCAAAGTTTCATCTGAGACAAGGTTAGTCCCTTCCACCTATGAGCCTGTAAAATCAAAGGCAAGTTGGTTACTTCCCAGATACAATGAGGGTACAGGAATTGGGTAAATATTGCCATCCCAAATGGGAAAAATTGGCTAAAACAAAGGGGCTATAGGCCCTATGTAAGTCCAAAATCCAGCAGGGCAGTCAAATCTTAAAGCTCCAAAATGATCTCCTATGACTCCGTGTCTCACATCTGGGTCACACTGATGCAAAAGGTGGGTTCCCATGGTCTTGGACAGCTCTGCCCTTGTGGCTTTCCAGGGTATAGCTTCCTTCCCAGCTGCTTTCACGGGCTGGCATTGAATGTCTGTGGCTTTTCCAGGTGCACAGTGCAAAGTGTTGGTGGATCTAGCATTCTGGGGTCTGGAGGATGGTGGCCCTCTTCTCACAGCTCCACTTGGCAGTGCCCCAGTAGGGACTCTGTGTGGAGGCTCTGACCCCACATTTCCCTTCTGCATTGCCCTAGCAAAGGTTCTCCAAGAGGGCCCCATTCCTGCAGCAAACTGCTTCCTGGACTTCCAGGCATTTCCATACATCCTCTGAAATCTAGGTGGAGATTCCCAAACCCCAATTCTTGACTTCTGTGCACTAACGGGGTCAACACCACATGGAAGTTGCCAAGGCTTGAGGCTAGCATCCTCTGAAGCCACGGCCTGAGCTCAACTTTGGTCCCTTTCGGCCACAGCTGGAGTGGCTGGGATGCAAGGCACCAAGTCCCTAGGCTGCACACAGCACAGGAACCTTGGGCTCAGCCCACAAAATCATTTTTTCCTCCTAGGCCTCCAGGCCTCTGATGGGAGGGGCTGCCACAAAGGTCTCTGACATGCCCTGGAGACACTTTCCCCATTGTCTTAATGATTAACATTCAGCTCCTCATTACTTATGCAAATTTCTGCAGCCAGCTTGAATTTCTGCTCAGAAAAAAAATGGGATTTTCTTTTCTATCACATTGTCAGGCTGCAAATTTTCCAAACTTTTATGCCCTGTTTCTCTTTCAAAATTGAATGACTTTGACAGCACCCAAGTCATCTCTTGAATGTTTTGCTGCTTAGAAACTTCTTCTGCCAGATACCCCTAAATCATCTCTCCCAAGTTTAAAGTTCCAAAAATCTCTAGGACAGGGGCAAAATGCCACCAGTCTCTGTGCTAAAATGTAACAAGAATCACCTTTGCTCCAGTTCCCAACAAGTTCCTCATCTCCAGCTGAGACCATCTCAGCCTGGATTTCATTGTCCATATCATTATTGGCATTTTAGTCAAAGCCATTCAACAAGTCTCTAAAAGATTCCAAACTTTCCCACATTTTCCTGTCTTCTTCTGAGCCCTCCAAACTCTTCCAACCTCTGCCTGTTACCCAGTTCCAAAGCCGCTTCCAAATTTTTGGGTATCTTTTCAGCAGCACCTAATTCCTGGTACCAATTTACTGTATTAGTCCATTTTCATGCTGCTGATGAAGACATACCTGAGACTGGGTAATTTACACAGGAAAAAGAGTTTAAGGGACTTAAACTTCCACATGGCCAGGGAAGCCTCACAATCATGGAGGAAGGCAAGGAGGAGCAAGTCACATCTTACATGGATGGCAGCAGTCAAAGAGAGCTTGTGCAGGGAAACACCTCTTTTTAAAATCATCAAATCTCCTGAGACTTATTCACTATCACAAGAACAGCACAGGAAAGACCTGTCCCCATGATTCAATTACCTCCTACCAGGTCCCTCCCACAACACATGGGAATTCAAGATGAGATTTGGGTGGGGACACAACCAAACGATATCAGGGTTGTCTGTGATATTTTAAACTTGGGTCTATTCCCATGACTCCTCCCTCTCCAGCTCACTGGCAGAAGCCAAAAGCCAGCATCTTTGACTGCTTTTGGAATTCCATTACAAGAACCATCCCCAGAACACAGTCAATGTTTTGTCTGAACATGCATCTCCCAGAAAAATTTCAATTCTCAGAGTACGGTGACTACCTCACTCTGGTTCTCCTCAGAACTCAGCTTAGCAGGTGGGGGAGGGGGGTTATCCTCAGGCAATTATCAAAACAATAGCAAACTGCTGGCAACATTACAACTGCCTAAGGCTATCATGTTAGTTGGGGCAAAGAAGAGCCTGGCTTAGAATTTAAAAGAAAATTCTTGAATGACTTTGACAGCACCCAAGTCATCTCTTGAATGTTTTGCTGCTTAATCTAGTTCTCAAGAATTTGCTTAGGGAATTTTAAAAAGCTCAAACATATTCCTAAAATCTAAAAGACTGTGCACATGCCAAGGAAAGACCTGGCAAAGATGGCATCAGTCATTCGTCTCTGACTGACCTTGAGGTCCTGTCCAAGCAGGGAATAAAGCAGTCTTAAAGTGCCTGACGGCTGGAGGCATGATATCTCACACAGAACCCTTTGGCAAAGCATGAAACACTACTGTCAAAACATTTAAGAAAATCTAACCAACTATCAGTTAGCCACTAAATTATACTAATCCAAGAGTGATCCCTAGAAAGCCAGGGCTTAAAAACAAAAGCAATAACTTAAAAAAATAAAAGCAGCAAAGAACTGTGGCCATACACTACAACACAGCAAGGAATCAGTGAAATGGCTTCTTTGTCTGGGGTATATACCCTGGTTCTTCGTCTTGGCTGAGAAAGAATTCAGAACATGGACACACATGAGGAGTGGATTTAGGAGTGGAAGGTTTAATAGGCAAAAAAGAAGAGAGAGAAAAAAGGTTTCCTCATGCTGAGAAAGCAAGTCTCCCAAGAAAAGGTCTCTGGTTTGCAGTGGAATGCAATCAATTGTGTACAGAGGCTTAAGAAGGTGGTGATTGATCTACATAGGGATCAGGGGATCAGTTTGACCAGGTGTGCCATTTACATAGCCCGTGAAAAGATTGGCCTCCCACCCTAACCTTTTGTTATACAAATGTGGCTTCTACCTGGTGGGTCACCATGATACCTGTACAGGTTTTACCTGAAGGTTGCCATGACACCAGCACAAATGGTGACAAGGAAAAGAGGGCAGGAGACACCATATTGAATGTACCTGGCTTCCAGGTACAGCTGATGGAATTTACATATAAAAGATCCTAGTTTACGTAACTATGACTTACTCTTCAGGCTGCTTTCTGTTAGAGAAGAAATGGTTTGGGGTTGCTTTTTAATAAAGGAAAATTCTACTGAGAACTCTTTTACCCTTTCTAACTGCCTAAAACTAGTATCTTAATAACTCCTGTATTATCATGACCTATAGAATTAATACAGAAAAATCAAACAGACACAAATAAACAACAAGAAAAACCACAGCCAAAATGGCAATAATGACAAACCTTAGGGGATAGAAGAATCTGATATCAGAGTTGTTAAAATATATTTTCTAAAATGTCCAGCTTTCAATGAAAAATTATGACACTTATGAAAAAAACAGGAAAATATCACATGTACATTGAAAAAAGCAACTAATAGAAAATATCCATGAGGGGACCATTTTGGATTTAGCAGAAAAAGATGTTAAATTAGCTACTATTAATGTGTCCAAAGAGGTAAAGGAACCATGAGTAAAGAGCTAAAGGAAGCCAGGAGACTGTCTCAACAAATAAAGGATAGGAATAATGAGATAAAAATTATTAACAGGAACCAAATGAAAATTCTGCAGCTGAGAAGTACAATAACTAAAATGAAAAATTTATTATAGTGTTTTAATAGCTGATTAGAGCAGGCAGAAGAATTATCAAATTTAAAGATAGGTAGGTCAACTGAAATCATTCAGTCTGAGGAGAAGAAAGAAAAGAGAATGAAAAGAAGGGGAGCAGAGCCTCAGAGATATACAAGAAACTACCAAGTATACCGCATATGCAAAACAGAGGCCCAAGAAAAAGAGGAAAAAGAGAATGGGACTGAAAGAAAATTTGTGACTAAAAACTCTGAGTTGATAAACATAAATGAGTCTGTAAATCCAAAAAGCTCAATGAACTCCGAGTAGAATAAACTCAGAGATTTCCACCAAGACATACTCAAGTCAAATGGAAAAAAGTCAAACACTAAGAGAGAATCCTGAAGGTGGCAAGAGAAAAACAACCTACCATGTACAAGGAATCCTCAACAAGATTAATAGCTGACTTCTTATAAGAAACCATGGGGGCCAGAAGACAGAGGGATAAGATCTTCAAAGTGTTAAAAGAAAATGACAGTCAACTAAGAATTCTGTCCAAAGAATCTCTCATTTAAAAATGAAGAAGCGAGGTGAAGCAAGATGGTGGAGTAGAAGGTTGCACTAATTGTCCCTCATGTAGGAACATCAAATTTAACAAGTATCTACACAAAAAAGTACATTCATAAAAACTAAAAATCAAGTAAGCACCACATAGTACCTGATTTTAATTTCATATTTCTGAAAGAGGCACTGAAAAGGGCAGGAAAGTGTCTTGAATTGCTGATGTTACCCCTTCCCAAACTCCTGGCAGCAGCTACATGGCATGGAAAATCTGTGCACTTGGGTAGAGAGAACACAGCAATTTGGGGACTTTGCATTGAACTCAGTGCTGCCCTCTCACAGAAGAAAACAGAACCGAACTGTATATAGCTGATACCTGCCCACAAAGAAAGCATTTGGACTGGCCCTAGCCAGAGGGAAATTGCCCATCCCAAAAAAACTTAAGTTCTAGAAAGTCTTGCCACTGTGGGTTGAAATGCACTGGGGCCCTAAATAAACTTGAAACGAAGTCTAGGCCACAAGGACTGCAACTCCTAGGTGAGTCCTAGCACTAAGCTGGGCTCAGAGCCAGTGGACTAGGGGAGCACATGACCTTACTATCAGCCAGGGCAGCTAAGGGAATGCATATACCGCCCCTCACCCAACTGCAGGCTGTACAGCTCACAGTTCCAAAAGAAACTCCATCCTTCCTCCTGGGAGAAGAGAGAATTTTGTCTTGCATTTTGGGTACCAGCTCAGACACGAGGATGGGGCACTGGGCAGTCATGAGGCCCTAGCTCTCAGACATTTCTAGACATACCCTAGGCCAGAAGTGAACCCACTGCCTTGAAGGTCCCATCACCTGCTGACTAAGAAGCCCTTGGGAACTGAATAACCAGCAGTGATACCCAGGTAGTACTCTGTGAGTCTTGGGGAGACTCTCAACCATGCTGGCTTCAGGCGAGACACAGCATATTCCCAGCTGTGGTGGCTATGGTGAGAGGCTCCATCTCCTTGAGAAAAGCAGAGGGAAAAGTAAAGGGGACTTTGGCTTGCATCTTAGGTACTAGCTCAGCCACAATGGGGTAGAGTACCAGTTGGGCTCTTAAGAATCCTGATTCCAGGCCTTGGTTCTTGGATGGCATTTCTAAACCCATGCTGGGCCAGAGGGAAGCCCACTACTCTGAAAAGTGAGTCCCAGCCTGGCACCATTCACCACAAGCTTCCTGAGGAGCCCATGCACCTTACGTGAACACTGGTGGATGCCTGGCAGTACTTTCCGTGGGCCTGTGGTGGTAGCGGCCACAGGGTCAGGTTCCTTTGCCTGTGTAAAGAGGAGGGAAGAATGGGAAGGACTATGTCTTGTTGTTTGAGTGCCAGCTCAACAGCAGTACAAGAGAACACCAAGTAGATGTCTAAGGTTTTTTACTCCAGTCCCTGGTTCCTGGACAACATCTCTGGACCCACCTGGCACCTGAGGTAACTCACTGACCTGAAAACAAGAACTCAAGCTTGACTAGCTTTGCCGCTTGCCACCTGCTGATTGTACAGCCCTAGGGCCTTGAGCGAACATAAGCAGTAGCAAGGGAGTGATTACAGCAAGCCTTGGGCAAGATCCAGTGCTGTATTGGCTTCAAGTATGATGCACTGCAGCAGTCCCAGTGGTGATGGCCACAGGGCTGCTTCTGTCATCCCACTCCCAGCTCCAGGAAGCTCAGCACAGAGAGAGAGAGAGAGACTGTTTATTTCAGAGAAAGAGAAGAGAACAAGAGTCCCTACCTGGTAATCCAGAGAATCCATCTGGACGTTATCCAAGACTGCCAAGGTAGCACCTCGATGACTCTACAAGAACCACAATGTTACTGAGCTCAAGGTGCCCCCTAATGTAGATATGGCTTAGGTCATAGTACCCAAATCCTTTTGATTACAGGGAAAACCTTTCTGAAAAGGATGGGTACAAATAAGCCCAGACTGTGAAGACTACAATAAATACCTAAGCCTTCTGCCCAGACGCCAAAGAACATCTACAAGCATCAACACCATCTGGGAAAACATGACCTCAACAAACAAGCTAAATAAGGCACCAGGGACCAATCCTGGAGAAACAGAGATATGTAACTATTCAGACAGAGAATTCAAAATAACTGTGTTGAGGAAATTCAAAGAAATTCAAGATTTCTTTGAAGGAATTCAGAATTCTATCACAGAGATAGAGAAGGAATTCAGAATTCTATCACATAAATTTAACAAAGAGATTGAAATAATTAAAATAAGCACACATTCTGGAGCTGAAAAATGAAACTGAAATGTTAAGAAACACATCAGAGCCTTTTTTTTTTTTTTTTTTTTTTTGAGATAGTTTCTTGTCACCCAGTCTGGAGTGCAATGACGTGATCTCGGCTCACTGCAACCTCCACCTCCCGGGTTCAAGCGATTTTCATGCCTCAGCCTCCCAAGCAGCTAGGATTACAGGTGCCTGCCACCATGCCTGGCTCATTTTCATATTTTTAGTAGAGACGGGGTTTCACCATGTTGGTCAGGCTGGTCTCAAACTCCTGACCTTAGAGTTCGAGACCAGCCTGGCCAACATGGTCATCAGAGTCTTTTAATGGCAGAATAAATCAAGCAGAAGAATGAATTAGTAAGCTTGAAGACAGACTATTTGAAAATATACAGTCAGAAGAGACAAAAGAAAAAAGAATAAAAAATAACGAAGCACACCTACAGGATCTAGAAAATAGTTTCAAAAGGGTAAATCTAAGAGTTATTGGCGTTAAAGAGGAGCTAGAGAAAGACATAGGCATAGAAAGTTCACTCAAAGGGATAATAACAGAAAAGTTCCTAAACCTAGAGAAAGATATCAATATCAGAGTACAAGAAGATTATAAAACACCAAGCAAAGAAGACTACCTCAAGGAGGTAATAAATAGTAATCAAACTCCCAAAGGTCAAGTATAAAGGATCCTAAAAGCAGCAAGAGAAAAGAAACAAATAAATACAATGGAGCTCCAATACATCTGGCAGCAGACTTTTCAGTGGAAACCTTACAGGTCTGGAGAAAGTGACACAAATTTAAAATGCCAAAGGAAAAAAACTTTTACCCTAGAATAGTATATCTGGCAAAAATGTCTTTCAAACATGAAGGAAAAATAAAGACTTTCCCCGACAAACAAAAGCTGAAGGACTTCATCAATACCAGACCTGGTTCTATAAGAAATTCTAATGGGAGTACTTCAGTCAGAAATAAAAGAATGTTAATGAGCAATAAGAAATCATCTGAAAGGGCCGGCAGTGCCAAGATGGCCAACTAGAAGCAGCTGCGTTTGGAGGCTCCTGTTATGCGCGTTCGTATAAGAGACGAACTGAGCAGACTTAGTGTGAGAAACAAGGCTGTTTATTCACTTGGGTGCAAGTGGGCTGAGTCCGAGAAAGGGGTCTGCAAAGGGTGGTGGGATTATCATTGGTTCCTACAGGTTTCAGATAGGCAGTGGAGTCAGGAGCAATTTTTTAAGGGCAGGGGATGGACGTTACAAAGTATATTCACAAGGGCGGGGAGGAATGTTAAAAAGTACATTCACAAGGGCGGGACGGTGTATTGTCACAAGGGCAGGGAGGAATCTTACAAAGTACATTCACAGGGATGGGGAATATCACAAAGTACATTATCACAAGGGCGGGGGAATGTCACGATGGCCTGACCATGGTGCGGCCAGCTCAGAGGACTTTACAGCTCCCATCAAAAAAAATCATAATACGCCTGTGAATCCTTCACCGGCAACCAAGGTATCCAGGTTCTCTCATCAAAATTGAGTAGAAGGCTGGCATGACCCACGGAGAGAAGGGAGAGCAGTGTGGTGCTGCAGCCTACCTGAGAGCCACGTGGGGAAGGGGAACCACCTCTCCCCAGCCAAGGGAGGCGGTGAGTGAGCATGCTACCCAGCTGGGGAAACCGTGCAACCCACAGATCAGAAGACCCCGCTCGCGAACCCATGCCACCGGGGCCTAGCATCCCAGTCCTGGAATGCGTGGATTCTTACAGCTTTTCAGCTGGAATCTGCTTAAGCCTACCAAACTCCTGTGGGGAGGGGCGACCAGCACCGGCTGCTGCTGCCTGCTCTCTAAGCTGTTTGAGCTCCTCGAGGGAGGGGCAGCAGCCAGCACTGGGACTCACAACTGCCTAACATGCTCCCTGCGTGGGAGAAGAGTGACACCCATTTCTATAGCTCCAGGCTGCGCTTTTCCGCTGCTGGAGCCAGGGAGGCTGGACGGCTTGGTCCCAATACTTGTCCCCACAGCCTAACACATTGGCTATGGCAGTCAGCAGCCAGAGTGCCTCTTCAGGTCTAACCCTGACCCATCCTTCCTCAGTGGGCGGGGCTTCCCTGCAGGATCTCCAGTAACTCCAGCCAGAGGCTCAGGGACAGAATTCAGATCTCCCTGGGCCTGAGCCCCTAAGGGGAGGGATGGCTGCAGTCTCTGCAGACCAGCAAACTTAGCTGATCCTCCTGGTGGTTCTGAGGAATCCAGGCAGCCCAGACAAGTGGGTTTCCCCCCACAAAACACACCCTCTCCACCAAGGGACAAAGTGCTTCATTAAACGAGTCCTGCTCCCTGTACCACCCAACTGGGTGAGGCACTCCAACAGGGGTTGTCAGATACTCTATATAGGAACGATCCTACTGGCATCAGGGTGGTGCCCCTTGAGGTCAGAGGTCCCAGAAGAAGGAGGAGGCACCAATCTTGGCTGCTCTCCAGACTCCTTGAATGACATCTCCAGGCACGGGAGCAAATCAGATAAGGCCTGAAGCAAATCCCCAGCAAACTGCAGCAGCCCTAAAGAAGAGGGACCTGACTATTGAAAGAAAAACAAGCAGAAAGTGACAACAACAGCATCAACAACAACAACAACAAAAAGGCATCTACAAAAACCCCATCCAAGGGTCAGCAGCCTCAAAGTCCAAAACTAGACAAACTCACAAAGATAAGAATCAATGAAAAAATGCTGAAAACCCAAAAGGTCAGAGTGCCTCTTCTCCTCCAAATGATTGCAATGTCTCTCCATCAAGGGCACAGAACTGGATGGAGGATCAGATGAAAGAATTGACAGAAGTAGGCTTTGGAAGATGGGTACTAAAAAACTATGATGAGTTAAAGAAGCATGTTCTAACCCAATGCAAAGAAGCTAAGAACCTTGATAAAAAGTTAGAGGAATTGCTAACTAGAATAGCCAGTTTAGAGAGGAACATAAATGACCTGATGGAGCTGCAAAACACAGCACAAGAATTTCATGAAGAATACACAAGTATCAACAGCTGAATCAACCAAGCGGAAGAAAGGATATCAGTGTGAAGACCACCTTACTGAAATAAGACATGCAGACAAGAATTAAAAAAAAAAATGAAAAGGAATGAAAAAAGCCTCCAAGAAATATGGTACTTCATAAAATGACCAAATCTACGATTGATTGGAGTACCAGGAGACAGGGAGAATGGAAACAAGATGGAAAACACACTTCAGCATATGATCCAGGAAGATTTCCCAGGATATGATCTCCTGGGAAGATCCAGGAGAACTTCCCCAACTTTGCCAACATGCAAATTCAGGAAATACAGAGAACACCATTAAGATAGTCCACGAGAAGATCAACCCCAAGACACACAATCATCAGATTCTCCAAAGTCGAAATGAAGGAAAAACTGTTAAGGGCAGCCAGAGAGAAAGGCCAGGTCACCTACAAAGGGAAGCCCATCAGACTAACAGCAGACCTCTCAGCAGAAACTCTACAAGCCAGAAGAGATTGGGAGCCAATATTTGACATTCTTAAAGAAAACAGTTTTCAACCCAGAATTTCATATCCAGCCAAATGAAGCTTCATAAGCAAAGGATAAATAAAATCCTTTCTAGACAAGCAAATGCTAAGGGATTTCATTACCAGCAGGCCTGCCCTGCAAGAGCTCCTGAAAGAAACATTAACTATGGAAAGGAAAAGCCGGTACCAGCCACTGCAAAAACACACCAAAATATAAAAACTAATGACACATGAAGAAACTGCATCAACTAGTGTGCAAAACAACCAAAGAGCATCATGATGACATGATCAAACTCCAAACGTAACAATACTAACCTCAAATGTAACTGGGACTGGGCACAGTGACTCACACCTGTAATCCCAGCACTTTGGGAGGCCAAGGCAGGTGAATTACCTGCAGTCAGGAGTTTGAGACCAACCTGGCCAACATGGTGAAAATCTATATCTATTAAAAATACAAAAATCAGCTGGGTGTGGTGGCAGGTGCCTATAGTCCAGCTACTAGGGAGGCTGAGGCAGGAGAATTGTTTGAATCTGGGAGGTGGAGGTTGCAGTGAGCTGAGAGCATGACACTGCACTCCAGCCTGGGTGAGAGTGAGAAAGAAAGAAAGAAAAGAAAGAAAGAGAGAGAGAAACAGAGAAAGAGAGAGAGAGAAAGGAAGGAAAAGAAAATGTAACTGGGCTAAATGCCCTAATTAAAAGACACAGACTGGCAAAAAAGGAGTCAAGACCCATTGGCGTGCTGTATTCAGGAGAAGCATCTTATGTGCAAAGACACACACAGGCTCAAAATAAAGGGATGCAGGGAAATTTGCCAAACAAATAAAAAGAAAAAAAAAGCAGGGTTGCAATCCTAGTCTCTGACAAAACAGATTTTAAACCAAAAAAGATCAAAAAAGACAAAGAAGGGTATTACATAATGGTAAAGGGAACAATTCAACAAGAAAAGCTAACTATTCTGAATATATAGGAGTGTAAATTAGTTCAACCATTGTGGAAGAGAGTATGGCAATTCCTCAAGAATCTAGAACCAGAAATACCATTTGACCCAGCAATCCCATTACTGGGTGTATTCCCAAAGGAATATAAATCATTCTACTATAAAGACATATGCACATGTATTTTTATTGCACCACTATTTACAATAGCCAGGACATGGAACCAACCCAAATTCCCATCAATGACAGGCTGGATAAAGAAAATGTGGACATATACACTATGGAATACTATGAAGCCATAAAAAATGAGATCGTGTCCTTTGCAGGGACATGGATGAAACTGAAAGCCCTCATCCTCAGCAAAGTAGCGCAGGAACAGAAAACCAAACACCGCATATTCTCACTCGTAAGTGGGAGGTGAACATTGAGAAAACATGGACACAGAGAGGGGAACAACAACACCAGGGCCTGTTGTGGGGTGGGGGTGAGGGGAGAGAACTTAGAGGATGAGTCAATAGGTGCAGCAAACCACCATGGCACACGTATACCTATGTACCAAACCAGCCCGTTCTGCATACATGTATACATGTATCCCGTTTCTTTTTTAGAAGAAATAAAGAAAAATAAATCATCTAAAGGTATAAAATTCACTGGTGATAGTAAGTACACGGAAAAATACACAGAATATTATAACACTATAACTGGGGTATGTAAACTACTCTTATGTAGAAAGACTAAAAGATGAACAAATCAAAAATCATTACTAAAATATGAGCCATTTGAAAATAATAATTTTTCAAAAAATAGTACTATAAGATATAAATAGAAACAACAAAAAGTTAAAAAGCAGGGGGATGAAGTTAAGGTGTAGAGATTTTATTAGTTTTTGTTTGTTTTCTTATTCAAACAGTGTTAAGTTGCTATAAACTTAAAATAACTGATTATAAGATAGTATTTGCAAGCCTCATGGTAACCTCAAATCAAAAAACATACAATGGATACACAAAAAATAAAAAGCAACCATGTACAATGGCTCATACCTGTAATCTCAATGATTTGGGAGGCCAAGATAGGTGGATCATTTGAGCCCAGGAGTTCCAGACCAGCTTGGAAAATATAGTGAGACACTGTCTCTGAAAAGAATTTAAAAATTAGCCAGGTGTGGTGGCAAATGCCTGTAGGCCCAGCTACTCAGGGAGCTGAGGTGAGAGGATTGCTTGAGTCCAGGAGGTCGACGCTGCAGTAAGCCATGATCACACCACTGCACTCCAGTATGGGCAACAGACCAAGACTCTGTCTTAAAAAAAATTTTTTTTAATTAAAAAAATTAAAGCAAGAAATTAAATCATACCACCAGAGAAAATCACCTTCACTAAAAAGAAGACAGAAAGGTCTGGTTTCTGTTCCAAGATGGCCGAATAGGAACAGCTCCAGTCTGCAGCTCCCAGAATGATTGATGCAGAAGATAGGTGATTTCTGCATTTCCAACTGAGATACCTGGTTCGTCTCACTGGGACTGGTTGGAGAATGGGTGCAGCCCACAGAGGGTGAGCCAAAGCAGGGCAGGGCATTGCCTCACCCAGAAAGTGCAAAGGGTTGGGAGATTTCCCTTTCCTAGCCAAGGGAATCCATGATAGACTGTACCTGGAAAATCGGTACACTCTTGCCCAAATACTGCACTTTTCCCATGGTCTTAGCAACGAGCAGACCAGGAGATTCTCTCCTGTGCCTGGCTCGGCAGGTCTCATGCCCACAGAGCCTTGCTCACTGCTAGCGCAGCAGTCTGAGATGGAATTGCAAGGCTGCAGCCTGGCGGGGGGAGGGGCATCCACATTACTGAGGCTTGAGTAGGTAAACAAAGTGGTCAGGAAGCTCGAACTGGGCAGAACCCACCACAGCTCAGCAAGACCTACTGCCTCTGTAGACACCACCTCTGTGGGCAGGGCATAACTGAACAAAAGGCAGCAGACAACTTCTGCAGACTTAAACGTCCCTGTCTGACAGCTCTGAAGAGAGCAGTGATTCTCCAGACAGACTGCCTCCTGAAGTGGGTCCCTGACCCACATGTAGCCTAACTCAGAGACACCTCCCAGTAGGGGCCAAAAGACACCTCATACAGGCAGGTGCCCCTCTGGGACGAAGCTTCCAGAGGAAGGATCAGGAAGCAATATTTGCTGTTCTGCAATATTTGCTGTTCTGCAGCCTACACTGGTAATATCCAGGCGAACGGCCTGGAGTGGACCCCCAGCAAACTCCAACAGACCTGCAGCTGAGGGATCTGACTGTTAAAAGGAAAACAAAGAGAAAGGAATAGAATCAACATCAACAACAAAAAAATCCTCACCAAAACCTCATCAGTAGGTCACCAACATCAAAGACCAAAGGTAGATAAAACCACAAAGATGGAGAGAAATCAGAGCAGAAAACCTGAAAATTCTGAACACAAGAGCGCCTCTTCCCCTCCAAAGGATCGCAGCTCCTTGCCAGCAACAGAACAAAGCTGGACAGAGAATGACTTTGACAAGTTGACAGAAGTAGGGTTCAGAAGATCAGTAAATAACAAATTTATCTGAGCTAAAGGAGGATGTTCTAACCCATCCCAAGGAAGCTAAAAACCTTGAAAAAAAGGTTAGATGAATGGGTACTAGAATAAACAGTGGAGAGAAGACCTTAAATGACCTGATAGAGCTGAAAACCATGGCACAAGAACTTCATGATGCGTACACAAGCTTCACAGCAGATTCATTCAAGTGGAAGAAAGGATATCAGTGATTGAAGATCAAATTAATGAAATAGCGAGAAGACAAGATTAGAGAAAACAGAGTAAAAAGAAGGGAACAAAGCCTCCAAGAAATATGGGACTATGTGAAAAGACCAAATCTACGTTTGACTGGTGGACCTGAAAGTGATGGGGAGAATGGAACCAAGTCAGAAAACACTCTTCAGGATATTATCTAGGAGAACTTCCCCAACCTAGCAAGGCAGGCCAACATTCAAATTCAGGAAATACAGAGAACACCACAAAGATACTCCTCAAGAAGACTAACCCCAAGACACATAATTGTCAGATTCACCAAGGTTGAAATGAAGGGAAAAAGGTTAAGGGCAGCCAGAGAGGAAGATCAGGTTACCTACAAAGGGAAGCCCATCAGACTAACAGCAGATCTCTTGGCCAAAACCCTACAAGCCAGAAGAGAGTGAGGGCCAATATTCAACACTCTTGAAGAAAAGAATTTTCAACCCAGAATTTCATATCCAGCCAAACTAAGCTTCATAAGTGAAGGAGAAATAAAATCCTTTACAGACAAGCAAATGCTGAGAGATTTTGTCACCACCAGGCCTACCTTACAAGAGCTCCTGAAGGAAGAACTAAATATGGAAAGGAATGACCAGTACCAGCCACTGCAAAAACATGCCAAACTGTAAAGACCATCGATGCTATAAAGAAACTGTATCAATTAATGGAAAAAATAACCAGCTGACATCATAATGACAGGATCAAATTCACATATAACAATATTAACCTTAAATGTAAATGGGCTAAATGCTCCAATTAAAAGACACAGACTGGCAAATTGGATAAAGAGTCAAGACCCATCAGTGTGCTATATTCAGGAGACCCATCTCACATGCAGAGACACATATAGGCTCAAAATAAAGGGATGGAGGAAGGTCTACCAAGCAAACAGAAAGCAAAAAAAAAAAAAAAAAAAAAAAAAAAAAGCAGGGGTTGCGATCCTAGTCTCTGATAACACAGACTTTAAACCAACAAAGATGAAAAGGGACAAAGAAGGCCATTGCGTAATATTAAAGGGATCAATTCAACAGTAAGAGCTAACTATCCTAAATAGATATGCACCCAATATGGGAGCACGCAGATTCATAAAGCAAGTCCTTAGAGACCTATAAAAGACTTAGACTCCCGCATAATAATAATGGGAGACTTTAACATCCCACTGTCAATAGTAGACAGATCAATGAGACAGGTTAACAAGGATATCCAGGACTTGAACTCAGCTCTACACCAAGCAGACCTAATAGACATCTACAGAACTCTCCACCCCAAATCAATAGAATATACATTCTTCTCAGCACATCACACTTACTCTAAAATTGACCACATACTTGGAAGTAAAGCACTCCTCAGCAAATGTAAAAAAATGGAAATCACAACAAACTATCTCTCAGACCACAGCACAATCAAATTAAAACTTAATACTAAGAAACTCACTCAAAACCACACAACTACATGGAAACTGAACAACCTTCTCCTGAATGGCTACTGGGTAAATAACAAAATAAAGGCAGAAATAAAGATGTTCTTTGAAACCAATGAGAACAACGACATAACATACCAGAATCTCTGGGACACATTTAAAGCAGTGTGTAGAAGGAAATTTATAGCACTAAATGCCCACAACTGAAAGCAGTAAAGATCTAAAATCAACACCATAACATCACAATTAAAAGAACTAGAGAAGCAAGAGCAAACAAATTCAAAAGCTAGCAAAAGGTAAAAAATTACTAAGATCAGAGCAGAACTGAAAGAGATAGAGACACAAAAAAACCCTTCAAAAAATCAATGAATCCAGGAGCTGGTTTTTTGAAAAGATCAACAAAATTGATAGAACGCTAGCAAGACTAGTAAAGAAGAAAAGAGAGAAGAATCAAATAGGGGTGCAATAAAAAATGATAAAGGGGATATTACCACCAATCCCACAGAAATACAAACTACCTTCAGAGAATACTATAAACACCTCTATGCAAATAAACTAGAAAATCTAGAAGAAATGGATAAATTCCTGGACACATGCACCCTCTCAAGAATAAACCAGGAAGAAGGTGAATCTCTGAATAGACCAATAACAGGTTCTGAAATTGAGGCAATAATTAATAGCCTACCAACCAAAAAAAGTCCAGGACCAGACGGATTCACAGCCAAATTCTAAAAGAGGTACAAAGAGGAGCTGGTACCATTCCTTCTGAAACTATTCCAATCAATAGAAAAAGAGGGGATCCTCCCTAACTCATTTTATGAGGCCAGCATCATCCTGCTACAAAAGCCTGGAAGAGACTCAACAACAAAAAGAGAATTTTAGACCAATATCCCTAATTAACATCGATGCGAAAATCTTCAATAAAATACTGGCAAACCGAATCCAGCAGCACATCAAAAAGTCTATCCACCATGATCAAGTTGGCTTCACCCCTGGGATGCAAGGCTGATTCAACATATGCCAATCAATAAACGTAATCCATCACATAAACAGAACCAAAACCACATGATTATCTCAACAGATGCAGAAAAGGCCTTTGACAAAACTCAACAGCCCTTCATGCTAAAAACTCTCAATAAACTAGGTATTGATGGAACACATCTCAAAATAATAAGAGCTATTTATGACAAACCCATAGCGAATATCATACTGAATGGGCAAAAACTGGAAGCATTCCCTTTGAAAACCACCACAAGACAAGGATGCCCTCTCTCACCACTCCTTTTCAACATGGTGTTGGAAGTTCTGGCCAAGGCAATCAGGCAGGAGAAAGAAATAAAGGGTATTCAATTAGGAAAAGAGGAAGTCAAAGGGTCCCTGTTTGCAGATGACATGATTGTCTATTTAGAAAACCCCATCGTCTCAGCCCAAAATCTCCTTAAGCTCATAAGCAACTTCAGCAAAGCTCAGTATACAAAATCAATGTGCAAAAATCACAAGCATTCTTATACACCAATAACAGACAAACAGAGAGCCAAATCATGAGTGAACTCCCACTCACAATTGCTACAAAGAGAATAAAATACCTAGGAATCCAACTTACAAGGGATGTGAAGGACCTCTTCAAGGAGAACTACAAACCACTGCTCAATGAAATAAAAGAGGACACAAACAAATGAAAGAACATTCCATGCTCACAGATAGGAAGAATCAACATCATGAAAATGGCCATACTGCCCAAGGTAATTTATAGATTTAATGCCATCCCCATCAAGCAAAATGACTTTCTTCACAGAATTGGAAAAAACTAAAGTTCATATGGAACCAAAAAAGAGTCCACATAGCCAAGACAATCCAAAGCAAAAAGAACAAAGCTGGAGGCATCACGCTACCTGACTTCAAACTATACTACAAGGCTACAGTAACCACAACAGCATACACAGATACACAGACCAAAACAGATACACATACCAATAGAACCGAACAGAGGCCTCAGAAATAACACCACACATCTACAACCATCTGATCTTTGACAAACCTAACAAAAACAAGAAATGGGGAAATGATTCCCTATTTAAAAGTGGTGCTGGGAAAACTAGCTAGCCATATGTAGAAAGCTGAAACTGGATCCCTTCCTTACACCTTACAGAAAAATTAATTCAAGACGGATTAAAGACTTAAATGTAAGATCTAAAACCATAAAAACCCTAGAAGAAAACCTAGGCAATACCGTTCAGGACATAGGCATGGGCAAGGACTTCATGGCTAAAACACCAAAAGCAATGGCAACAAAAGCCAAAATTGACAAATGGGATCTAATTAAACTAAAGAGCTTCTGCACAGCAAAAGAAACTACCATCAGTGTGAACAGGCAACCTACAGAATGGGAAAAAATTTTTGCAATCTACCCATCTGACAAAGGGCTAATATCCAGAATCTACAAAAAACTCAAACAAATTTACAAGAAAGAAACAAACAACCCCATCAAAAAGTGGGCAAAGGATATGAACAGACACTTCGCAAAAGAAGACATTTATGCAGCCAACAGACACATGAAAAAATGCTCATCATCACTGGTCATCAGAGAAATGCAAATCAAAATCACAATGAGATATCATCTCACGCAGGTTAGAATGGTGATCATTAAAAAGTCAGGAAACAACAGATGCTGGAGAGGATGTGGAGAAATAGGAACGTTTTTATACTGTTGGTGGGAGTGTAAATTAGTTCAATCATTGTGGAAGACAGTGTGGCAATTCCTCAGGGATCTAGAACTAGAAATACCATTTGACCCAGCCATCCCATTACTGGGTATATACCCAAAGGATTATAAATCATGCTACTATGAAGACACATGCACACGTATGTTTACTGCAGCACTATTCACAATAGCAAAGACTTGGAACCAACCCAAATGTCCACCGATAATAGACTAGATTAAGAAAATGTGGCACATATACACCATGGAATACTATGCAGCCATAAAGAAGAATGAGTTCATGTCCTTTGCAGGGAAATGGATGAAGATGGAAACCATCATTCTAAGCAAACTATCACAAGGACAGAAAACCAAACACCACATGTTCTCACTCATAGGTGGGAACTGAACAATGAGAACACTTGGACACGGGGAAGGGAACATCACACACCAGCACCTGTCATGGGCTTGGGGGCTGGGGTAGGGATAGCATTAGGAGAAATATCTAATGTAAATGACGAGTTGATGGGTGCAGCGAACCAACATGGCACATGTATACCTATGTAACAAACCTGCACATTGTGCACATGTACCCTAGTACTTAAAGTATAATAATTAAAAAGAAAAAAAGAAGACAGAAAGGAAAGAAAGAAGGAAGAGAAGACTACAAAACAACCAGAAAATAAATAACAAAACAGCAGGAATCAGTTCTTGTTTATCAATAATAATGTTGAATGTAAAGGGACTTAACTCCTCAATAAAAAAGACATACAGTGGCTGAATGAATAAAAAGAAAAACATGACCCAATGATCTGTTGCCAATAAGAAACACACTTCACCTATGAAGGCACACATAGACTGAAAATTAAGGGATGGAAAAGGATATTCCATGTCTATGGAAATCAAACAAAGAGCAGGAGTAGCTATATTTATATCAGACAAAATAGATTTCAAGACAAAAACTATAAAAAGAGACAAAGAAGGTCACTATATAAAGATAAAGGGATCAATTCAGCAAAAGTATATAACAATCATAAATACATATGCACCTAACATGGGAGCACTCATATGTTATTAGAGGTAAAGAAGGAAATAAACCCCAGTACATTAATAGCTGAAGATTTCAACACCCCGCTTTCAGCATTGGACAGATCTTCCAAACAGAAAATCAACAAAGAAACTTCAGATCTTTGTCTGCAGATCCAGATATAATCTTGTATTTGGAAAAACCTCGGGACTCCACAAAAAAAAACTATTAGAACTGATAAACAAATTTAGTAAAGATGCAAAATACAAAATCAACATACAAAAGCCAGTAGCATTTCTATGTGCCAACAGCAAGCAATCTGAAAAAGAAATCAAGAAAGTAATGCCATTTACAATAACTAAAAATAAAATTATGTGCCTAGGAATTAATTAAAGTGAAAGATCTCTACAATAAAAGCTATAAGACACTGATGAAAGAAATTGAGGAGGACACCAAAAAGTGGAAAGATATTCCATGTTCATGGATTAAAAGAATCATTATTTTTTAAATGTCCATACTACCCAAAGCAATCTATAGATGTAATGCAATCCCTATCAAAATACCAATTATATTCTTCACAGAAATAAAAAAAAAATCCTCAAATTTATATGGAACAACAAAAGATCCAGAATAGCCAAAGCTATCCTAAGCAAAAAGAAAAGTGGAGGAATCACATTACCTGTCTTCAAATTATACTAAAGATCTATAATAATCAAGATGGCATGATACTGGCATAAAAACAGACACATAGACCAGAGGAACAGAATAGAAAACCCAGAAGTAAATCTATACATCTACAATGAATTCATTTTTGACAAAGTTTCCAAGAACATACATTGCGGAAAGGACAGTCTCTTCAATAAATGATGCAGGGAAAATTGGATAGCCATATACAGGAGAATGAAACTGGACTCCTATCTCTCACCATATAAAAGAATCAAATCAAAATTAAAGACAAATCTAAGACTACAAACTATGAAACTACCAAAAGAAAACTTTGGGGAAACTCTCCAGTACATTGGGCTGAGCAGAGTTCTTAAGTAATATCCCACAGGCACAGGAAACCAAAGCAAAAATGGACAAATTGGATAACATCAAGTTAAAAAGCTTTTGCACAGCCAAAGAAACAATGAAGTGAATAGACAACCCATAAAATGAGAGAAAATATTTTCAAACTACCCATCTGACAAGGGATTAATAACCAGAATATACGAGGCACGCAAACAACTCTATTGGAAAAAATCTGATAATCCAATCAAAAATGGGCAAAAGATCCAAATACACATTTCTCAAAAGAAGACATACAAATGGCAAACTGGCATATGAAAAAGTGCACAACATCATTGATCATCAGAGAAATGCAAATCAAAACTACAATGAGGTGACATCTCACCCCAGTTAAAATGGTTTTTATCCAAAAGACAGGCAACATTGAATGCTGGTGAGGATGTGAAGAGAAAAGAACCCTTGTAGACTGTTGGTGAGAATGTAAATTATTTTCACTATGGAGAAAAGTTTGGAGGTTCCTCAACAAAAAAAAAAAAAAAAACTAAAAATTGAGCTACCATATGATCCACAATCCCACTGTTGGGTATTTACCCAAAAGGAAGGAAATCAGTATGTCAAAGAGATATCTTCACTCCCATGTTTATTGCTGCACTATTCACAATAGCCAATATTTGGAAGCAACCTGAGTGTCCATCAACAGATTAATGGATTTTTTAAATGTGGTATATATATACAATGGAGTACCACTTAGCCATAAAAAACGAATGGGGCCAGATGCAGTGGTTCATGCCTGTAATCCTAACACTTTGGGAGGCCAAAGCAGGCAGATCACTTGAGTTCTGGAATTCGAGACCAGCCTGGCCAACATGGTGAAATCCCATCTCTACTAAAAATACAAAAATTTTCTAGGCATGGTGGCACATGCCTGTAATCCCAGCTACTTGGGAGGCTGAGGCCTGAGAATCGCTTGAACCTAGGAGGTGGAGGTTACAGTGAGCTGAGATTGTTCCACTGCACTACAGCCTGGGCAACATAGCAAGACTCTGTCTCAAGAAAAAAAAATGGGATCCTGTCATTTGCAACAACCTGGATGGAACTGGAGATCATAATGTTAAGTGAAATAAACCAGGCACAGAAAGACAAATTTCACATGTTCTCGCTTATTTGTGGGAGCTAGAAATAAAAACAATTGAACTCATGGAGCTAGAGAGTAGAAGGATGGTTAACAGAGGCTGGGAAGTGTAGTGGGGAATTGGGGGAAAGTGGGGATGGTAAAGGAGAACAAAAGCACAGAAGGAATGAATAAGACCTAGTATTTGCTAGCACAACAGGGTTAGTATAGAAAAAAAATTAATTCTACATTTTACAATAACTAAAAAAGTGTAATTGGATTGTTTAAGACACAAAGATAAATGCTTGAGGTGACAGATACCCCATTTACCCTTATCTGATTATTACACATTGCATACTTGTATCAAAATATCTCATTTAACCCATAGATATATACACCTACTATATAACCAAAAAATATATATAAATAAAAATGAAAAAATAGTTTATATATTTCCCGGTAAATAAAAACGGACACAATCACTATCAAACGATCCTG
Organism: Homo sapiens; assembly: GCF_000001405.40. NCBI lineage: Eukaryota > Metazoa > Chordata > Mammalia > Primates > Hominidae > Homo > Homo sapiens. Next base: position 119,139,244 of record NC_000003.12, read on the forward strand.
CCATATAAAATACTAAAATGAGTCCTTCAGGCCAGAATGAAAGCATACTTGATGGTAATTCAAATCCATGTAAAGAATAAAGAGCAACAGTAAAGATAAGTACATTAGGTATTTGATATGGTTTGGTTGTGTCCCCACTCAAATCTCATCTTGTAGCTCCCATAATTCCCACGTGTTGTAGGAGGTACCCGGTGGGAAATAATTGAATCACAGGGGTGGATCTTTTCTGTGCTGTTCTCATGAATAAGTCTCATGAGATCTGATGGTTTTAAAAACAAGAGTTTCCCTGCACAAGCTCTCTCTTTTTGCCTGCTGCCATCCATGTAAGACGTGACTTGCTCTTCCTTGCCTTCTGCCATGAGTGTGAGACCTCCCCAGTCACAACTCTAAGTCCATTAAACCTCTTTATTTTGTAAACTGCCCAGTCTCGGGTATGTCTTTATCAGCAGTGTGAAAAATGGACTAATATAGTATTATAAAAGATGTTATAAACACACTTTTCTATCTAACTCTTTCCTTCTCCTACCTGTTTTAAAAGATAACAGCATAAATCAATTACAATAGCTGTGTGAATGGGTTTATAATCTGTAAAGATGTAATTTGTATGAAAATAATAATACAAAGAATGGTGACGGGAACATAGTATACTGGAGCAAAGTTTTTGTATAATACTGAAGTTACGTTAGTATAAATCCAAACAAGATTATTTTAAGCTAAGATTAAACTAACTGTAATATCCAGATAAATCAGAAAGAAAATAACTCCAAAAATAGTAAAATAAACAGCAATCAAATTTAAAAGGTACACTAGGAAATATCTATTTAACACAATAAAAGAAAGACTTGAGGAACAAAAAATATATGACATATATAAAATAATAAAATAAAACATGTATATCCTACTTATAAATCAAAAGGCAGAGATAGTCAGAATGGACCCTCCCCCCAAAAAAACCAACTATACCACTACGTATATACTGTCTACAAGAGACAAACTTTAGATCAAAAGACACAAATAGGTTGAAAGTAAAAAGATTTTTTAAAATATGCCATGCATGAAGTAATCAAAGAGAGCTGGAGTGGCTATACTATGAGACAAAATAGATTTTAGGACAAAAATTGTTACTTGAAAAAGTACATTTTATAATGATAAGAAGGTCAATCTATCAGGTATATATAATGATTATAAACACATATAGCCCTAACAACAGAACCCCAAAAATATGTGAAGCAAAAACTTACAGAATTGAAGTGAGATATGGATAATTCAAGAATATAGTTGGAGATGTCAATACTCCACTTTCAATAATAGAATCAACTAAGCAGAAGATCAACCAAGAAAGAGAAGACTTAACTAACACTATAAATCAACTAGACCTAACAGACTTCTAGAGAACATTCCGCCCAACCGCAGCAGAATATACATTCTTTTAAGTGCACATGAACATTATCCAAGATAAACCATATGTTATACCATAAAACAAGCCTCAGTAAATTTTAAAAGATTAAAATCATACAAGGCCAGACACAGTGGCTCATGCCTGTAATCCTAGCACTTTGGGAGGCCGAGGAGGGTGGATCACCTGAGGTCAGGAGTTCGAGACCAGTCTGGCTAACATGGCGAAACCCCATCTCTACTAAAAATACAAAAATTAGCCAGGCATGGTGGCACATGCCTGTAATTCCAGCTACTCAGGAGGCTGAGGCAGGAAAATTGCTTGACCCAGGAGGCAGAGGTTGCAGTGAGCCGAGACCATGCCATTGCACTCCAGCCTGGGCCACAGGAGACTCTGTCTCATTAAAAAAAAAAAAAAAAAAATACAAAATATATTCTGCAATCACAGTGAAATTAAAAGATAAATCAACAGAAAAAATTTAGAAAAATCAGAAATATGTGGAAATTAAACAACACATTCTTAATTAACCAATGGATTAAAGAAGAAATCACAAAAGAAATTAGAAAATACTTTGAGATAAATCCAAATGAAAACACAACATACTAAAACTTATGGGATACAGGAAAGCAATGCTTAGAGGAAAATTTATTGCTATAGAGGCCTATATTTTAAAAGCAACAAAGGTCCCAAATCAATAGCCTAATTTTCCACCTTAAAAAACTATAAAAAAGAGCAAACTATACCCACACCAAGCAGAAGGAATGAAATAATAAAGATTAGAGAGATGTTAATATAATGGAGAATATAAAATGAGAATATAAAAATGACAGAAAAATAATTTAAAGGTTGTTTTTTCAAAATATCAACAAAATTGAAAAGCTTTTAACTAGGTTGACCACATTAAAAAAAGACTCAAATAACTAAAATAAGTAATGAAAAAAGGGACATTACAATATAGATTATCTATATTATCTAATATATTAGATACATTAGATAAAATATCTAATATATATTTCTAATATCTATATATCTAATATAGATATATATTATCTAATACAAATGGGCACATTCTCAGAAAGGCTTAAATATCAAAACTACTGTGCTATCATGTTTATTGCAGTATTATTGTGAATAAATAGCCAAGATATGGAAATAACCTAAGTATCCATCAACATAACTCTCAGGACGGAAAAGTGGCTATAAAGAGGGCATTCCTCAAAAACATTGAAAGGCAACCTGCTGGCATCTGGGTAAAAAGACTAAAATCATGGTTAAATAACGGACACACTGAAAGTTTGGGAGGAAAAGCTGGGGAGAGAGATTATTTGAATAATTAGTGTATCAAAAAGTTTCTGGCCGGGCGCGGTGGCTCACGCTTGTAATCCCAGCACTTTGGGAGGCCGAGGAGGACGGATCACGAGGTCAGGAAATCAAAACCATCCTGACTAACACGGTGAAACCCCCTCTCTACTAAAAATACAAAAAATTAGCTGGGCATGGTGGCGGGCACCTGTAGTCCCAGCTACTCGGGAGGCTGAAGCAGGAGAATGGCGTGAACCTGGGAGGCGGAGCTTGCACTGAGCCGAGATCGCGCCACTGCATTCCAGCCTGGGCGACAGAGCAAGACTCCATCTCAAAAAAAAAAAAAAAAAAAAAAGTGTCTGCATGTATTGGACATCCAGAAAAGCACATGCATGCCCACGGAATGATGCAAGTAACATACAAACTGTCCAGACTTTACCTTTTGTTTTTTTATTATGAAGTATGCAAAGAAACAACAAAGTATGGCTAGGAGAAATTAAAATAAACTGCTACTAAGGAAGCACAGATATTGGACCAAAACTTTAAATCAACTGTCTTAAAAATGTTCAAAGAGCTAGGGGAAGATAGGTCAATTGAAATTCTTCAGCCTGAAGAAAAGGAAGAAGAATGAAGAAAAATTTATAGAGCCTCAGAGACCTATAAGACACCCTTAAGTGTACCACTTATGCATGGTGGGAGCTCCAGAAAAAGAGGAGAGAGAGAAAGGGAAAGAAAAAATATTTAAAGAAGTAATGGCTGAAAATGTTACAAATTTGATAAAAGAAATGATTGTACACATTCAGGAAGCTCAACAAACTCCAAAAGAATAACATAAAAGATCCACACTGATACATGACAATAAAACTTTCAAAAGAGAAAGACATTTTGAAAGAGAAAATATTGAAAGGAGCAAAAAAGAAGTGATTCCTCACATATTAAGATACTGAAGGTGAACAGTCAATTTCTCAGCAGAATTCATGGAAGTGAGAAAGCAGTAAGACAACATATTTACAGTTGAAAAAAATACCATCAACCAGAAATTCTACATTCAGCAAAACTACCTTTCAGAAATAAAGAAGAAATTAAGACATTCCCAGATAAACAAATCCTAAGTTCATCTATAGTAGGCCTGCCATACAAGAAATTCTAAAAGGATATCCTCAAGTAGAAATGAAAGATATAGTAACTTGAAGCCATATGAAGAAATAAAAAAATACTGGTTTTGGTATCTATATAGGTGATTTAATAGCCAGCATTGTATTTTTGGTTTGAACCTCTTTTTATGTATGATTTAAATGATGGATGTACAAAATAATTATAATAAATCTATGTTAATAGGTACACACTGTATAAAGATGCTATTTGTGACAACAATAACACACAAAAAAGTAGAGACAGACATGTATTATATAACAGCAGGGTTTTGTATACCATTGAAGCTAGGATGGTTTTAATTCAAAATAGGTTGTTATAAGTTTAGGAGGCCAATTGTAATCTCTAAGTAACCACTAAGACAATAACTAAAAATATATATACAGAAAAGGAATGAGAAAGGAATCAACATGATACACTATAAAAAAAATCAACTAAACACAAAGGATGGTAGTAATGGAAGAACTGAGGAACAGAAAACATGTAAAAATAAATAGCAAAATGACAGAAGTCCTTCCATAGCAGTAATTACTTTAAATGTAGATGGATTAAACTTTCCAATAAAAAGACAAAGATTGGCAAAATAGATTTTTTTAAATGTGATCCAACTATATAGTGTAAGATTCTTTTTAGTTTCAAGGACATTAATAAGTTGAAAATACAACTAGGGAAAAAGATATGCCATGCAAATAATAACCAAAAGAGAGCTGGAGCTGCTATACTATTATCAGACAAAATAGACTTTAAGTCAAAAAATGTTATGAGGGACGAAGAAGTGCATTATATATTGATAAAAGCGTCAATTAAACAAGAAGACTTTATTTCTTCTTGTTTATAATATTTATTTATAGAAAATAATTATTTGTAGAAAACAACAAGCTCAAATTATATGAAGCAAACATTGACAGATTTGAAGGGAAAAAGAAACAGTTCTACAATAATAGTTGGAGATTTTAATACCCCACTTTTTTTGTGTGAAATAGGGTGTCACTCTGTGGCCCAGGCTGCAGTGCAGTGGCACAATCATGGCTCAGACAGCCTCAACCTCCTGGTCTCAAGCAATCCTCCCACCTCAGCCCACCAGTAGCTGGGACCACAGGTGCACACCACCACACCCGGCTGATTTTTTGTGTTTCTCACTTTGAATAATGAGTAGAACCCTAGACAGAAGGCCAGTAAGAAAATATAGGACTTGAACAACACTATTGACCAATTAGACCTAACGCATATGAAGAACATTCCACCCAACAAAAGCAAATACACATTCTTTCCATGGAATATTCTCCAGGATAAACCATATGGTAGGCCACAAAACAAGCCTTAATATATTTTAAAAGATTGAAACCATACAATGTATCTTCTCTGAACACAGCAGAATGAAGCTAGAAATCAATAAGAGAAGGAAAACTGGAAAATTCATACATATTTGGAAACTAGACAACATACTTTTAAACAACCAATGTGTCAAAGAAAAAAAAATCACAGAAAATGAGAAAATATCTTCAGATGAATGAAAACATAACACCAAACACTTGAGAGATGCAGCAAAAGCATCAGCTCAGAGGGAAATTTGTAACTATAAAACAGCTACATTTAAAAAAAAGATCTCAAATTGATAAATCATCATTTTGTAAAATATATACATACCTATAGATATAGACACATAGATTTGCATGGGGGTATTTCCAGAAGGATAAACATCAAAATGTCAATACAGGTTATCTCTTGAGTGTTTGGGAATTTTTTTCTTTACGCTTTCTTTTTTATATTTCTATGATTATTACATTTAAGTTATAAAATGGAAAAATAAATCTCCAAAACCAATAGCACTTTGAAGCTACAAGCCATAGCCCAAGACCTATTTTACTCTAAACACAGTATCCAATGGTGTCATGCATTTTTAAATAAATAAGGTAGATAATTCATAAAGTGACATTCAACAAGCACTTCTTGAGCACCTATTATGTTCTAGGCACTGTTACATAAATGACTTTACTTCAGTGTGCTTAGATTCCCCTTTCCATTCCTAAGTATGGTGTCAAGTGTATCCACTCTCCTTTGTCACAAGTATTTGAATTTGGATTTTAAGTCTCATTTCTAATTGTTTAATGCAGTTAAATCCCTACTAAAGGAATATCTGGCATCACACTACCAACCCTTGGCCTGCCTCAGTGATTTCAGGCTTTGCAAGGTCAAAGTAATTTGTCTCATCAATCACCACCTCTGTACTGGCCTACTCCTGAAAGTAGACAGCCTACTGACTCTGAGGTGCATTCTTAAGGTTGATTGCAAAGTGGGAGGACCAAATCTCAAAAACTGGGCCCCACTGGCCAACACTATCAAATACAAATTCTCCACTTGCTAAATATTCCTTCTGGTATCTTTCTCCCACTTTCCTTACTCCCTTCCTTTCTGGAACTCTGATTTGGCCTCCTTCTAACTCGCCTCTCTGCTGTAAGACCACTAGATGGTGCAGTTTTAGAACCCATTCTCACTGGATCTTCTCTCCTCTCTCTGGCTCTCCCGCCACAGATCACATGTCTAATCCAGCAAGAAAACACCTTGGGGCAGGAGTTTCCACTGCCAAGACAGCTATACCCAAAGGGGATGGCAATAGCAACAACCTCTGTTCAGTTTTGTGGTCCTCGTGCAGCTGGTTGTGTGTTCATCTGTTGACATTTGGAGGTGCGGTGGGGGATGTTAATCAGAGGAGCAGTACCTGAGAGAGGGCCTCTTTCTCACACACTGCGGAGAACCTCTGTGAACAAGGAAGAGGGTAACACTCTAGGTGGCGATGCACGGAGCCCCGTGGCCTGGTTGCTCGGCAGGGTGAGGAGAAGCTGTAACTGCCAGAGCCTGAGAATCGCCCCTTCTCAGGACATGGCGTACTCCCTGCGCTCGCCTGCACACTGCAGGGTCAGCTGACTGCCGTCCCTCCACTTACAACAGCGGGACGGCCACTCTCCCTGACGCACGCAGTGACCCGAACAAAGCCCGTGGGAATCATGGGGCGTTCCTGGAGGGTCGCCTAGACGACCCAGCCCAACCCCACCCACAGTGCCTGGCAACCTAGACCAGTCAGGGACGCGGCAGGAAATGGAAGAGCCTCCGCAAGAGGCTCTGGCTGAACCCTTGAAACATGAAAGCCCAGCCGCTCCCTCAAGTGCTGGCCACACTAAGGGCCAGGAAGAAGACGACCAGAAGAACCAGGCCGAAAGGAAGGCAGATAACCACACTGCTCACAGAATAGCTGACCAGACTGCCCTAAGAGTGCCTAGCCAGGCTGAATCCAGCATATTTAGCCAAGCTACCAACGGAGTAGCTGAACAAAATGGGCATAGTACACCTGGTCAGGCTGGCCGCAGAGCATCCAACCCTGCTGATGTTTCTGACCTTAGAGCAGATGATCAGGTTAATCAAACACCGTCTGAACAGACTAAAGGCAAGGCATCTAGCCAAGCTAATAATGTACAGCATGAACAGAGTGATGGTCAGGTGTCTGGCCTGACGGAGGAAAGAACTGCTGAACAGACTGAACGAAGATTACCTACCCAGGCTGAGAGAAGAACTTCTGGGCAGATTGATGGTAGACTGGCTATGCCATCTGACCAGAGAGGTTCCAGACAGACCGACCACAGAATGGCAGGCCAGTCTGAGAGAAGAGCTTCCGAGCAGATGGACCGCAGAATGTCTGGCGAGGCTGAGCGAAGAACTTCTGAGCAGATTACACACAGATTATCCAAACTATCTGAGAGAAGACCTTCTGTGCAGATTGACAGTGGGTCATCCGTCCCATCTGACCAAAGTCCTTCTGTACAGATTGACAGTGGATCGTCCGTACCATCTGACCAAAGACCTTCCGTACAGATTGACCGCAGAATGTCAGGGAAAGTTAGGAGAAGAAGTTCTGAGAAGACTGACTACAGATTGGCTGGCCTGGCTGACCCAGGAACTTCTGAGCAGACTGACCTCAGATTGTATGGCCTCGTTGACCACAAAACATCTGTAAAGACTCACCACCAAGTGTACGGCCAAGCCACTGAACTAGCTGAACACCAGGCTATTGACCAAGCTCATAGTAATGCTGATCAACCTCCAGTTGACAATGCTCACTACACTGAATCTGACCAGACTGACCACTTAGCAGACAGACAAGCTAATCATAAAGACCAGCTGTCTTACTATGAAACACGTGGCCAGTCTGAAGACAGAATATTTCCCCAGTTAGGCAACAGCAAAGAGGACAAAGAGGCTGACTACAGAGTACAACCCTGCAAATTTGAGGATAGCCAAGTAGACCTCAATTCCAAGCCTTCAGTTGAAATGGAAACTCAGAATGCAACCACTATCCCACCCTACAACCCAGTTGATGCCAGATTCACCAGTAACTTCCAAGCAAAAGACCAAGCTCTTTTCCCAAGACTCCCCTCCATCTCATCCAAATTGAACTATACCAGCAGTCAAGAAAAAACTCAAGCCATAGTAACCAAATCTGTAAGTTAAATGGGCATTTGATACCTACCTGGGAGATCAGAGATCTAGACGGGGCCTGGAGAGTAAAAATAGGGGTACAACGGAAGGGCACATGTTGCATCAAGGATAAAGAATAAACCCACATGTTGTGGTATGTGTGACCCATAATTTCAGGAAGGGCAAGAGAAGGATGGGAAATAAAAGAGAATTATTGCCTTCTCTACTACCCAAAGGCCATTCAGGAAGGATTAATAAACCAGGATTCAGGAAACCTGCATTTTAAGTCCTAGTTCTGCAACTAACTCTGTGATATTAAGTCATTTTCCCTCTCTGGGCTTCTACCAGGAGAAGGGAATTTGGAGTTGATTAGACATCCCTGTGAAGGAAAAAGTACTTGAAGTTGATTGGCAATGCCTAAGGTACCTCCCAGGACATGAGGTGCATTATATTGCACCTGGAGACCTGGAGGATTATCCAAGTCTCTCTTAAAAATGTGTATTTTCTCCAACTCCTTGTGTTAAGATCTCATCAACATCAGGTTTCACTGATAATGACAATTCCTAGGCCCTTCAGGTTTACTAAGGACTTTTTGGTGGGGGGATTTAAATTTCAGGATGAATTTTCAGAAATTGACCAAGGAAAGGGTTATCATATACGCAATCAAACTTATAGAAGGTTCCCTTCTATAGTTTATGAAGATCCTTACCAAGTTTCACTCCAATACATGGAAAAACACCACATTCTGCAAATATTCCAGGTAAACCTCTCAATTCCTCTCTTTAATTATAAGTTTTTCAAGAGGTACAAGAAAGAGTGTATTCTGTAAAAAGGGATATATTCTAATTGAGAAGACAATAAGTGCATTAAGATGTAGTTACCATAAGTAGTAAATGATAAACACCAAATAGATGATACCATCATATGAAGCCATTCAGAGGGATTAGAGATCAGGTAGGTTGGTTGATAGGGAAAAACTTGGCCAAGGGTTAAATAGCCAGTCTAGGAAGGAAGGACAAAATATTATCAATTGAAAAGAAGAGAAAAAGGCAATCCAGGCAGAAGTATTATACCATCACGTGTTGCTTAATAACAAGGATATCTTCTGAGAGTTCTGAAACATGCATCATTAGGCAATTTTGTCACTGTGTAAACATCAGTGTACTTACACAAATCTAGATGATATAGCCTACCACACACTTAGGCTATATGGCATAGCCTATTGCTCCTAGGCCACAAACCTGTATTGTACATTATTATAATGAATACTGTAGGCAATTGTAACACAATGGGAAGTATTTGTGTATCTAAACATAGAAAACATACAGTACAATTACCATATGAGAGATAAAAATGGTACACCTCTATGGAGTACTTAACTATGTATGGAGCTTTCAGGCCTGGAAGTTGCTCTGAGCGAGTCAGTGAGTGGTGAGTCAGTGTAAAGGCCTTGGATGTTACTGTACAATACTGTAGACTTTAGAAACATTATACAGTTAGGCTACACTAAATTTTTTAACATATTTTTCTTCAAAACCAAATTAACCTTAGCTTACTGTAGCTTTTTTACTTTATAAATTTTTAATTTTTTTTAATCTGACTTTTGTAATAATGCTTAGCTTAAAATACACATAGTACAGCTATACAAAAATGTTTTTCTTTACATTCTTATTCTGTAACCGTGGTTCTATTTTTAAATTTTTTTTACTTTTATTTTTCTACTTTTTAAACATTTTTGATAAAAACTAAGACACAAATACACACATTAGCCTATGCCTACAGGATCAGGATCATCAATATCACTGTCTTCCACCTTCACAACTTGTCCCACTGGAAGGTCTTCAGAGGCAATAACATGCATGGAGCTGTCATCTCCTGTGATAACAATGCCTTCTGGAATACCCCCTGAAAAACCTCCCTGCTGTTCTACAGTTAACTTTTTTAAATAGGTAGACAGAGTACATTCTAAATAAATCACATAGCAAGTACATAAACCAGCAGCATAGTCATTTATTTTCAAGTAGGATGTACTATACATAACTTCGTGTGCTATATTTTTATACAACTGGTAGCAAAGTAGGTTTGTTTACACCAGCTTCACCACAGACACATGAGTAATGCTTTGCACTATGGCATTATGACAGCTATGACGTCACTAGACAATAGGAATTTTTCAACTCCATTAAAATCTTGAAACACATCACTATATGGAACACGACTATACTTTCAAAAGATGACCAATCTCGTGACCATCTAAGAAGGCACATTCTCTAGAGGGGAAAAGATATACTTTAAAATTGCTTCTAATTCTTCAAATTACAAATCTCATTGACCTCAGAATGTGGTGCTGGAACTTGTGGTTAGAAAGGTGTAAAATAAGAATGGCTTACCTCAAATGAAAACCTTTAAACTGAAAATTTTTGAATGCAAAGAAGTAGAGCATGGAGGAAAGAGCACAGATTTTGTAATCTGTTAGCCCAAGTCTCAAATCCTAACTTTGCACTTCTTATCTTTGTGATTTGGGAAAAATTATTTAACTTTTGTGAACCTAAGATTCCTCATATAAAGTAAGGATAAGTGATGTCTACTTCATTAACCTTGGTCTATGCCTTTTCCTTTTTCAAACGTCTTTTTGTTGGAAGAGTACTAATGTCTGGGTTTCTGGCTTTAATTAAAGAACTACTAATTATTAAACTGAAGGATGAAACCTGTTGAGACTTCCATTGAGACAGTAGAGTTTTAATCATTTTATAATTTTCTTCACCTGTGAAGAAAAAAACTGCTTATGCGTGCAACATTGTTATAGGAAAAAATGGTAATTAAATGTGTGTTCAACAGAAATAGATATAAAATACATAATGGAATGATGTTGGTGCCTTAAATAGACCTGATTATTTTATCCTGAAATTTGCCTGATTTTTATGCCCTGCAAGTGAGAATTGTGCTTACTTTATTATAATTTTTTAATTTATTCAATAACAACAAAAGTATGAAGTGAATCTAAAGTTTTATATATACTTTTTCATAATATTATAATACTGAACATCATTTTTGCCATTTAGAATCAAATGTCTCAGAAGGAAGTTTCTATGCAAAATTGTGCAGTGTTTTAAAATTTTTATTCAGAAGGTTTTTCTTGTACTGTTCTTCAAAGCAAATAATTTATTAATTTCTCAATCTAGCAAGACCACAGTTCTCAAAACAAATATTATCTTCCAAACTTTCTCCCTATCTCTGTGATCTTGGAAACTAGTAAAAATATCAATTGCTATTTATACTAAATTTCTATTTCTCTAAATTTTACCTTAATTTGCCTAATTTTATTAGTAATAATAAAGTAAGCTGTTACTTTGTAGAAATACACGAATTTCTTCAAAATACCATAGTGAGCCAGAAATAGTGGTGTGCACCTATAGTCCTAGCTACTCAGGATGCTGAGGCAGGAGGATTCCTTGAGCCCAGGAGTTTGAAGCTGTAGTGAGCTATGAACTATGATAGTACCACTGCATTCCATCTTGGGTGACAGAGTGGGAACCCATCTCTGAAAAAAACAAAAGCTATGGTATGTGTTAGGTTAGTGGGAAAGATAGCATCAAATATAACCTGACCACATAATTTTGCTCAGAACCATAATGTGATGCCTTATGCTCTCTTTCTCAGCAGATTACTGAAAACTTAGTCTATGAAAAGCCAGAGGACCCCCTGAATTTTATGCTGTGCCAGGTATAGAATTGGAGAAAAAGAACAACCTTTTTATTCTCTTTATTGTAAAATACAGCACACATACAGCAAAGTGTATAGAACAAAGTACGTACAACTCTGAATTCTTATGAAGTAAACATACCTGTAACTACCATTCAAGTTTTTAAAAAATAAATAAAACATAACCAGCATCCCAGAAGCCCCCTTCCTTTCCCTCACAGTTATTACTTCCCACAAAAGGATTCTTTATCACCTTTATGACAATGACCTCCTCACTTTTCTTTATAATTTTTCACTAAACCTGAATCATGAGACACTTGTGTTTATATTTGTCAGCTTTTGAACTGTATATAAAGGGAACCATATCATATATAATCAATTGTATCTGGTTTCTTATGCTCAAAATTATGTCATTGGGATTGATCCATGCTGTTGTATGTGGCTATATCTCATTCATTTTAATTGGCATGGGTGTCCAATCTTTTGGCTTCCCTGGGCCACTTGGGAAGACAAATTGGAGCCACACATAAAATACACTAACAGTGATAGCTGACGAGAAAAAAAATCGCAAAAAAAAAACAACTAATAATATTTTAAGAAAGTTTATGAATTTGTGTTGGGCCTCATTCAAAGCTGTCCTGGACCACATGCAGCCCACAAACTGCAGGTTGGACAAGCCTGCTGTACAGTATTCATTGTGTAGAATACCAGAATTTATCCTACTTTCGATGGGAATTCAGGTTGTTTCCAACTTGGAGTTATTACAAAAAATTTGCTGTAAACCTTCTTTCACATGTCCTTTGGTAACACATTTCTCTTGAGTGCATACCTTGAAGAGTAATTGCTGGATCATAGGGTGTGTGTTTCCTCAGCTTTAGTAGATTATTTCAAACAATTTCCCAAAGTGATTATACCAATTTGTGTTCCCATCAGCAGTGTGTAAACGTTCCAATTGTTCCACATCCTTACCAATGCTTACTACTATCAGTGTTTTTAGCATCAGCCATTTTGATAGGTGAATAGTAATATATCATTGCCGTTTCATTTTGCTTTTTCCTGATTACTAAGGCAGTTGCACATCTTTTCATTTGTTTATTGGCCATTTGGAAATACTTATTTTTCTATTGTATCGTTTGTCTTTCTGTGCCTGGCTTATTTCACTTAACATAAAGACCTCCAGTTCCATCCGTGTTGCTGCAAATAATAGGACTTCCTTCTTTTTATGTCTGCATAGTATTCCGTTATATATATGTGCCACATTTTCTTTATCCATTCATGTGTTGATAAACACTTAGGTTGATTCCTTACCTTGGAATTTTTGAATAGCGCTGTAGTAAACACGGGAGTGCAGGTATCTCTTCAAAACAGATTTCCTTTCCTTTGGAAATATAGCCAGCAGTGGGATTGCTCAATTATATGGTAGTTCTATTTTTAGCTTTGTTTAGGAAACTTGATATATTTTTCATAATGGCTGTAATACTTTACATTTCCACCAATAGTGTGCAGTATTCCTGTTTCTTCATACCTTCACCAGCACTTGGTTTGTTTGGTGGTTTGCTTTTTTGTTTTAGTTGTTGGTTGGTTTGTTTGTTTGTTGGTCTTTTTGATAATAGCCATTCTAACTGGGAAGAGATGGCATCTCATTGTGGTTTTGATTTGCATTTCCCTGATGATTAGTGATGTTGAGCATTTTTCCATGTACATCTTGACAATCTGTATATCTTATTTGGAGATATGTATATTCAGATCTTTTGCTTATTTTAAAGTTGTGTTATTTTTTGCTGAGTTGTCTGAGTTCCTCTAGTTGTTAATCCCTTGTCAGATGAATAGTTTGCAAATATTTTTCCCACTTTGTAGGTTGTCTCTTAACTCATTTTGTTTGCTGTGCAGAGAAGCTTTTTTTAATGAGGCTAGATTACTTGAGATTACTTGATGTAATCTCATTTGTCTAGTTTTGCTTTTGTTGCCTGGACTTTTGAGGTCTTACCTGAAAATCTTCATTCAGATCAATGTCCTGTTGCATTTGTCCAATGTTTTCTTCTAGTATTTTTGAAGTTTCAGGTTTTACATTTAAGTCTGTAATACATTTTGAGTTGATTTTTATATACAGTGAAAGATAGGGATGCAGTTTTACTCTTCTCCATATGGACATCCTGTTTACCAAGCATCATTTATTAAAGAGTCTGTTCTTTCCCCCAAAATATGTTATTGGCATCTTTGTCAAAAATGAGTTGACTGTAAGTGCATGGATATATTTCTGAGTTGTCCATTCTGTTCCGTTTAGTCTATGTGTCTGTTTTTATGCCAGTACCATGCTGTTTTGGTTACTGTAGCTTTGTAGTATACTTTGAATTCACCTAGTGTGATACCTTCTAGTATTCTCTGATGGTTGTTTGTATTTCTGTGGGGTCAGTGGTGGTATCCCCCTTATCATTTCTGATTGTGTTTATTTGAATCTTCTCTCTTTTCTTCTTTATTACTCTAACTAGCAGCCTATCTATTGATATTTTTTTAAACCAGCTCCTGAATTCATTGATTTTTTTGAAGGGTTTTTTGTGTCTCTATCTCCTTCAGTTTCACTCTGAGCTTGGTAATTTCTTGTCTTCTGCTAGCTCTGGGGTTTGTTTGCTCTTGGTTCTCTAGTTCTTTTACTTGCGATGTTAGGGTGACGATTTGAGACCTTTCTAGCTTTTCGATGTGCATTTAGGGCTATAAATTTCCCTCTTAAGACTGCTTTAGCTATATCCCAGAGGTTCTGGTATGTTGTCTTTTTGTTCTCATTGGTTTCAAATAGCTTCTTGATTTCTGCCTTAATTTCATTATTTACCCAAAAGTCATTCAGGAGCAGGTTGTTCAATTTCCATGTAGTTGTGTGGTTTTGAGTGGGTTTCCTAACCTTGAGATCTAATTTGATTGGACTGCAGTCTGAGAGACTGTTTGTTATGATTTCACATCTTTTACATTTGCTGAGAAGTGTTTTACTTCCAATTATGTGATCAATTTTAGAGTAAGTGCCATGTGGCACCAAAAAAAATTGTATATTCTGTTGTTTTGGGGTGGAGAGTTCTGTAGATATCTATCAGGTCCAGTTGGTCCAGAGCTGAGTTCTAGTCCTGAATATCTCTGTTAATTTTCTGTCTCGACAATCTGTCTAATAGTAACAGTGGGGTATTAAAGTCTCCCACTATTGTTTTATGGGGGTCTAAGTCTCTTTGTAGGTCTTTAAGAACTTGTTTTATGAATCTAGGTGCTCCTGTATTGAGTGCATATGTATTTAGAAGAGTTAGCTCTTCTTGCTGAATCAAACCCTTTACCATTTTGTAATGTCCTTCCTTGTCTTTTTTGTCCTTTGTTGGTTTAAAGTCTATTTGGTCAGAAACTAGGATTGCAACCCCTGCTTTTTTCTGCTTTCCATTTGCTTTGTAAATTTTCCTGTATCTCTTAATTTTGAGCCTGTGTGTGTCTTTGCATGTGAGATGTCTCTTGAGTTCAGCACACCAATAGGTCTTGTCTTTTTATCCAGCTTGCCATTCTGTGTCTTTTAATGGGGCATTTAGCCCATTTACATTTAAGGCTAATATTGTTATGTGTGAATTTGGTCCTGTCATCATCATGCTGGCTGGTTAATTTTAAAGACTTGTTAACATAGTTGTTTCATAGTGTCGTTGGTCTGTGTACTTTGGGGTATTTTTATAGTGGCTGGTAATGGTTTTTCCAAGTTTGTGCTGAGAGGTCTGCTGCTAGCCTGATTGGGTTCCCCTTGTAGGTTCCTGACCTCTCTCTCTGAGTGCCTTTAAGATTTTTTTCTTTTATGTTCATCTTGGTGAATCTGATGACTATGTGCCTTGGGGATGCTTGTCTTGTATGGTATCTCACAGGGGTTCTCTATTTTTCTTAAATTTATATGTCCACCTCTGTGGTGAGATTGGGAAAATTTTCATGAACTATATCCTCACTCTGTTTTCCAAGCTGTTTATTCTCTCTCCTTTTCTCTCAGGAATGTCAGCGAGTCATAGATTTGGTCCCTTCACAATCCCACATGTTTTTGGAGGTTTTATTCATTTTTTAAATTTAAAAAAAATTTTCGTCTGACTGAATTTATTCTAAAAACTGGTCTTCCAGCTCTGATATTCTTTCCTCACCTTGGTCAATTCTGCTGTTAATGATTCTAACTGTATTAGTCATTCTTGAAGTGAATTCTTCAATTCCATAAGTTCAGTTTGGTTCTTTCTTAAAATGGTTATTTCATCTTTCAGTTCCTAAAATGGATCATTTTATTGGATTCCTTGGGTTGGGTTTCAACTTTCTGCTGGATCTCAATGATCTTTCTTGCCATCCAGATTCTGAATTCTGTCTGTCATTTCAATCTGGTTTAAAACCATTGCTGGGGGACTAGTCTGTTAATTTGGAGGTAAAGGGTCACTTCGGCTTTTGGAATTACCAGAGATTTTGCATTGATTCTTTCTCATGTGTGAGGGCTAGTGTTTCTTTAACTGTGATGGAAGTTGAGTATAGTCAGTTGGCTTCATTTCTGCTTGCTTTAAGAGGTCCAAAGCTCTGTGCAGAATTTTTGTGGCTGGGTTTTTACTTTAGGTTTCACAGATGCTGTATACTGGCAACATATTTTTAGTGTTATAATTTGGGCTGAAATCCAGTAGACGGTGCTTAAGAGTAGTAGCCAGCAGATAGGCTCTTAGCCCTCTGCTCTTTTGTATTTTGACACATTCACAGTAGTGCTCCGCAGTAGAGAAGAGAGAGATGACCACTCCCCCTCAACTAGGTTCACTCCTGGGCTTTGGGGGAGCCACCACCAATCACTAGCTCTGTACCTGCCTTTCCTTTGTTAGGTGTTCTGGGCTGCAGGACTCCCTCAGGCAGGGGCCACAGCTGGCAGTCAGGCCATACCCTTCCCTAACTGGCCCTGTGGAGGGAGGCACACCCGCTCCCCAACCAGCCTGAGAACCTGGGCGTCTCACCAGTTTCATTGCTCTGAGAGTGGGAGCTTCCCCCTTGCTTGGGAGCTGCACAAATCAGTAAGTCCCACCTAGCTAGAAACAGAAGGGGTGAATGAAGTCACCTGGTCCATTATCCAGGCATATCCTGGGGGAACACAGAGCTGTACCCACTCACAGAGTTCAGGCAGAGGTGTGGCCACTGTGTGGAAGCCCCAGCCAGGGAGTCTTTTATGTCTAGGAGCAGCGGTTGGGTGGAGTAATCTGGCCCACCATCCAGGTGCTTCCTGGGAGAACATGTAGCTGCACCTGCCCACAGAGTTTAGGCAGAGGCAGGTCTTCTCTGCTGGAAGCCCCATCCAGCATGTCACACTTGCCTAGGAGCAGCAGGAGTGGGTAGAGTAACCTCATCTGCTGTTTGGGTGCTTCCTGGAGAAAAAGCAGGAACTGTGTCTCCTGCCAGAGTTCAGGCAGGTGTGGGACCACTGTGCTGGAAGCTGACACTGAGCCTTATCTGTTGAGGGGGAGTGGAGCAATCTGACTGCTCTCTGGCATCATGACTGTGGCCTTTATTGGGGCTATGGCAGCTTGCAGCAGGCTGTTCCAGCACCCAAGGCCTGTGGGTGTCCCTGTGGACTTTAATGTTGCTTCTGCAGAAATCTAGATGATTCTCAGTATCAGTCTAGAGGTCCTGTGGGAGTCATGGGTGTTCTTCCATTCCTAGGATTGCATAAGTCCCTGTGGGTAGTGTGGATCCCCTGTGGGTTCTCACCTTTTCCCCTTATTGGGGAGCTTCACTTGCCTCCAGGCCAGTCCCAGGTGACTGGCTGCTCAGCTTTGCTCTTCTCTGTTTTCTATGTCCTCTCACTCCTTTGATAGGTCCCCATGTGGTTTCTTCAGTTCCTCTTTTTTTACTTTCTGTCTTCTATTTCCTACATTTTCCTTCATTTCTGGTGTATTTTCCTTTATTTGATTGAGCATAGTTAGTTATTACAGCTGCTTTAAAGTGCTTGTCTAGAGCCAAGTGCAGTGGCTCATGCCTATAATCCCAGCACTTTGGGAGGCCAAGGTGGGCAGATCACTTGAGGCCAGGAGTTCGAAGTCAGCCTGGCCAACATGGTAAAACCCCGTCTCTCCTAAAAATACAAAAAATTAGCCAGCCATGGTGGCAGGCACCTGTAGTCCCAGCTACTCAGGAGGCTGAGGCAGGAGAATGGTGTGAACCTGGGAGGCAGAGCTTGCAGTGAGCCGAGATCGTGCCACTGCACTCCATCCTGGGCGACAGAGCGAGATTCCGTCTCAAAAAAAAAAAAAAAAAATTAGCTGAGTGTTGTGGTGTGTACCTGTAATCCCAGCTACTTGGGAGGCTGAGGCACTAGAATCACTGGAACCCAGGAGGTGGAGGTTGCAGTGAGCCAAGATTGCACCACTGCACTCCGGCCTGGGTGACAAAGTGAGACTCTGTCTCAAAAATAAAGTGCTTGTCTAGTAACCTCAATACCAGATCATCTTGGAGTTGGCATCTATTGATTGTCTTTTTCATTTAAAGTGAATATCTATGTTTTCTATAAGTAGAATAATTTTAGATAACCTGGGATATCGTTAATATTATATTGTGTAGACTGAGATTAGCTATAGTCTTCTGATAAATGTTGATTTTTTTAAAATGGCAGTTAATATGGTTAGATTCAAAGTAAGTTCTTTCTTGCCTCATGTGATTAACAGGTCATCGCTCAGATCAATTCACATTACTTTGAATTTGTCCTATGAGTACACGTTCTAGGGGTCAGCCTGAAGTTCATACACAATATTGGAGAATCTTTTTCCCCTTTCAGAATTCTCCCTCACTCTTCAGAATCTGGTCATATTTGGCCAGGCTACTTCCCCTGATTCTTCCATACAGAAAGACAGCAGGATTTCTTATCAGAGTTTTAGGCGTTCTTGCACTGCCACAGCTGTCTATGACTGTTATTACTATTGGGTCAAAGTTGAAGAAATGAAGAACTCATTTTGGTCACTTGGTCCAAGTTTAGACTTTCCTTTAAAATTTATCTGTCTTTGTTTAGGCTCCAGAGCCTTCAGGAAGTTATGTTTTGGTTTGGTTTGATTTTTGTGTTGGTTTGTTTGTAGTGGGTGAGGTGGGTGTTTTATTTTGTCCATTGTATACAGCTGTTACCTGCAGGAGTCATTTTTAAGTGCCTTTCGTGTATTTAGGAAGCAGAACCTCCTTGTTAAAAAATAATATTTGCATTTAAAGCTTTATCACATAAATTTAAATATGTGGTATTTTCATTTAATTTAGTTCTAGATAGTTTCTAATATGTATTATAATTTCTTCTTCAACTTATGGGTTTGGGGACATTATATTATTTGTACAAATTATTAGATATTGGATTTTGTAGTTATCTTTTGGTTTCTAAGTCAATTGCACTTTGCTCATAGAACATACTTCGTATAACATCAAATCTTTGAAATGTGTTTACTTGCTTTATGATACAGCATATGGTTAATAGTTGTGAATAAATTTTTTGTAGTTTAAAAGAAAGGTTTATTCTGCAATCATTGGCAAGTGTTCTGAATGTATCCATTGGGTCAGGCTTACTAAACATGTTGTTCAAGTCTTCTAATATGATTGTGAATTTGTCTGTCTCCCTATAGTTCAGTCAGTTTTTGCTGTGTATATGTGCTTGGGGTTATGTTATTAAGTGTATATGAATTTAGAATTCTTATTTATTTCTGGTAAATTTAACTATTTATTATAAAGAGGTATATCACATACTCTGACTACTTGGTTCAACATTACTGTGGCTATACCAGATTTATTTTTGTTAACATGTAAATGGTACTATATTTTTCTATCCTTATTACTTTTAATTTTCCCCTGTTCTTAGGTTTCAGATATGTTTTTTATAAATAGCATATAGTTGAGTTTTTGCTTTTTTATCATTAGTATTCAAATATGGCAAGTTTTTAACCATTTACAATTAGTACAATTAAAGATATATTTGAGGTTCAATCTCTTGTTTTGCTATGTGCTATTTGCCCTACTTGTTATGTTTCTTTTTCTTTACTTTTTGCCTTCTTTTATCATTCCATTTTTTCCCTCTGTTGGCTTAGAAGCTATCTACTTTTATTTTTTGTTGTTTCTTATTGGGGAAATTTTTTAAATTAGTGAACTTTATTTTTTAGAGCAGTTTTAAATTTACAGAAAAATTGGGCAGAAAGAAGTTTCCATATATCTCCTTACCCTTCCCTCATCTCCCACCACTAATTTCTCCTATTATTAACATTTTGCATTAGTGTGGTACACCTGTTACAAATTGGTGAGCCAGTATTGATACATTATTATTAACTAAAGACCATAGTTTACATTAGGGTTCTTTCTTTGTGTTGTACATTCTGTGGGTTTTGGACATATATATATGACATGGATCTACTGTTACAGTCTCATCCAGAATGTGGTCACTGCTCTTATAATCCTCACGATATTTTATAATGGTTCCCACAGAGATTGTAACATATGTCCTTGATGTATCAAAGTACAAATTATTTGCACCATCTCAATATAAGGATTTCTGTATTTTGAATCTCTACATATTTTAGCCTCACAAAATATGGTAATTCCAAGTAAACCAAAATTGCTAGTGGAAAAAAATTGTTTTTCATTCTCCCTAGGTGCAGGAAATGATGAAAAAGAGAGACAAAATGTGAAATCTACAAAGAACGAGCCTCTCTTCAGTATTGTTTACAATCATGTGTCAATACTATGTTCTGTTTTCCATCTGAAAAAAAAATGGTTTTGAATAGACATTAGTGGTGACTCTACCTGAATGCATTATTAATTTTTAAGTAAAAAATCTATAGAATATCTATGTAAAATTTACATAACAATTACAGATATC